>NC_000010.11:85900671-86052186 GCF_000001405.40 Homo sapiens | reverse complement strand
TTTCTTCACATTGATTTTTTTTTATTCCATAGCACGTCTTAAGAGGTATTTCCGTATTAGAAAGGCTTGCCTATTTTTCTCAGGTGCACAGTAGTTTATTGTGTAGATGTGCCATAACCTACTTAACCAGCTTCCTAATGATAACATTTAGATTCCACCCATTCTTGTGCTATGAAAAATTGTGCTGCATAGAATAATCTTGCAATTAGGTCAGTTTGCATTTTTGCAAGTGTATCTATAAAGATAAATACATAAAAATGGAATTGCAGAGTGAAAGGATTTTTGCATTTGTAATTTTGGTAGATACTGCAAAATTCTCTTCCAGAAGGGTTGTGCCAATTTATATTCCCACCAGCAATGTATAAGCGTGCCTGTTTTTCCATAGTTTTATCAACAGAATGCGTTATCAAACTTTTGGATTTTTGCCAATCTGATGGATAAAAATAGTATGAGAGCACAGTTTTAATTTGCATTTCTCTTTTGAACAAGATTAAGCATCTTATCACATGCTCAGGAGTTATTTGTATTTCATTTTCTGCGAGACATGTGTTCATGTACTTTGCCTATTTTTCTACTGATTTTTGGGAAATCTTTATAGCAGGGGTTTTATACCTTGATTTTTGGCATGTGTTGAAAATATTGAACCAGTTCATTGATTTTTTTTTTTTGCCTTTTCCCTTCATGAAACAGGGTTTGATTTATATATGGTAAAATCATTGGTTCCTTTTTCTTTTATGTCTTCTGAATTTTAGTTCATAGGAAAACATTCCCTAGTACAAAGTTATAAAATATTTCCCTCACTTTTCTTACAAGTATTTTTATGGTTCCATTTTAAACGTTTAAATCTGAGGTCCTGTTAAAGGTTTTTTTTTTTTTTTGGTATATAATTATCTAAATCCCGTTTATTGGAAGTTTATCTTTTCTTCATTGATTTTCATTGTTATTTTATAGTATACTAAAATCTTGTGTATATGTGAGTCTGTTTCTAGAAATGGTATTCTGTTTCATTGATCTTTCTGAGGTCTTTCACATGTCTGTACCACACTGTTTTAATTATTGTAGCTTTATTCTATATATTTTTAAATATATATATACACATTTTTTTTTTGAGACGGAGTTTCACTCTGGTTGCCCAGGCTGGAGTGCAATGGCGCAATCTTGGCTCACGGCAACCTCTGTCCCCTGGGTTCAAGTGATTCTCCGGCCTCAGCCTCCCAATAATATGTATATTTTAATACTTGGTCTGATTAGGTCTCTGTGCACCTCCAGCTATTCTTTTTTTTTTTTTTTTAACTTTTTTTCCTGGTTCTTGTGATTGTTTGTTTTTCCTTTAGAGTTTTAAAATCAGCTCATCTAGTGCCCAAAACACAGCCTATTGACATTCCATTGCAATTGCTTTACATTTATAAGTTATTATAGTTTAGGGAAAACCAATCTTTATGATATTGAGTTCTACCCAAGAACTTGGTGTATCTTTCCATGTTTTTCATTCCTTTTTTTGCACTTTTTTGCTGCTATTTAAGAGACTGACTTCATATAGATTTATGCAGTCAAGGTCAGCTTATTCCTAGGTATTTTATCTTGCTATCTGGGTTTGTAAATTTTTCCCCTTCTGCTAAATCTTCAAATTCATCATTGTTTGACTATGAGAATTACTGACCTTTTAATATTGATTTTGTACTGCACTCTTGTTAAATTTTCTGGTTTTTGCTTACCAGAAGTGGATCAGCATTTCTTCATGTGTTTTTCAGAGTTCTTATACAAGTTCAGCCATGGGTACACATTTGAAAACTTATCCACACATTATTAAATAAATAAATGTTTAAAATGTGTAAAATTATTTATTAATTTAATACTAAACACTACATATATACACACACATACTTCTTACAAATACTTTTGAGCATTGTAAATTCCAAGTAGGTTTTGCCAATAGAGAAATTGTGTGCCTCCTTTTAAAATGCTTAAGTGGCTAAATGTTAGAAACACAGACATTTCTTATAAAGTGTTACTGACGCCCTGTCTCCTTGGTCACCCCTCTTAAGTGTATTGACTTGATTTTCCAGTGATCCCTGTGAGCCATCTGTGGAATCACGCCTGGCTGAGTCTGGTAGGAACACACCTGGGTTTGTGTGTGTGCATGGATGCCATCATTTCTCCTTTGCCTGCCACACATTTTGACAAAGATGGATGATCAGAAAATCAGATTGAGCTCTCTGGTGGGTGTTTAACATGTACACACATGTGTCCCTGTGAACGGAGGAGAGTCTCACCTTTGCAAACCAGCTGTGGAAGGGGCAACATAGACATTCTATTAAAGAAACACTGACAATAGCTTGCTGGGCTTAAACGATGACAAAAAGAAGAAGAAGAAGAGGTGAGTTGCAGGCAGAGCCCAAATATGTCTCCAAGAGGAGGTTATGTATTTCTCAAAGGCTTGGACAAGTAAGAATCATGGATGAATCTGGTCCCAGAGGTAGTCAAAGCCAAGCAATGCAGCCATAACCACTGACAGGCCTAGTGCCCTGGAAAATGCATGTCATCTAGAGTCACCTTGATTCTGGCAGGGTTCCCATTGCTGGGTAATGGCTGGATTTTCTCAGTGCCAGTGAGAAGCAGCCTTTGCCTTATCCAGGGATTAAGCACGTCTCTTCCTGGTGTGGCATAGCCGGACTTGCTTTCTAGTTCAGTCCCCCAATCTCACAATCAGGCCAGGCTTTTCCTGGGCCATATAGTAGCCGCATCTCCACCAGTTATTCTTATTCAGGAAATAATATCTTTAAGAGGAAATTTTATGGGTCAAAAATATCTACACTGCTGGAACGTTGGGTCAAGTCTAACAAGATACAATTTGATATGGATCAATACAATGTGTAAGAGATCCTCCTGCACCATCCCACTCATCTAATCAAAGTATGTTGGTAGGAGTAGAGGGGGATGAGGCTGTGGCTGCCACTTAAGAGGCTGCTGGAGGCCTGGTCAATTGCTCAGACACTCAGCATCATGTGATGGTGACAGGCCTGTTGTCAATACATGAGTTCACTTCTCAGTCCTGCCGTTTACTGGCTAATGACTTCAGTACCAAGTTGCTTAACTTCCCTGAGCCTCCTCTCCTCATCTGTGAAACAGGGCTAGTGGTAGCTCCAGCCTCATGGAATGACAGAAAGCAAGACAACATAGGTAGGAACTTGGCACAAGGCTTGATGCATAGAAGGGCTCTTTCTGGTTTCAGTTCTTGCACTCATTCTGGGAGACAGGTCAATTACCATTTCCATTTTGTAGAGAAGGGACTGAGCTTCAGAAAGGGGAAGGAACCAAAGAGCCAAAGCCTGTAGGGCCTTTGAGCTTGCAAACCTCCCAGCATGTCCTCCAGTGTCCCATAATGTTATTATTATTACATGTTGACACTATAAATAAGGTGAGTCTTCAGTGGGATGTGTCCTGAATAAAAAGTGAGTGTGGCTTTAAGCCATGTGGATCTACCATTTTCAGCTTCCACCCCTTCACATGGTATTTCCAAACACAAGCACTCACCCAGAACCCTGGCTCCAGAGGGGAGAGGCCTTTAGCATCAGCTGGGAGTGTTGCCATGAGCCTCATGTGCTGGGGCTTCAGCCCAGGCCCCTAGCCTGGATCTCCTTTTCCTTGAAATGATTTTATTCCCAAATCTTTTGGCATGCCTCTGCTCCTGGGCCTGGAAGAGCCACTCTGGCCTCCCCTGACAAGTGCCTGTAACTTAGAATATTAAATTGCAGGTATTGGAGTTTTGGTGCCTCTTCTCTTAGAGGCCTCTGTAAGGTTTTGAAGGCTCCAAAGGAAGTAATTACGTAAATAGACTCACAATCCCAAGGGAGTGGCTGCCTCTCTGCCCTACTTTTACCTAAGATGGGCACTCAAGTGATCCTCTAGAGGTCAAAGAAGTCAATGTCTTCTATTCTCTATTAAAAAAAATATGGTACTCTGCTTCGTATGCCTATGAACTTGAAATGAAATAAATGCAAATTAGAGCCCCTTCCTGGTGATCTCTGATCCTGGAACCTCAAAATACTTTGACTTCTTCACTGGGCATCTGGAATTTGCTTCCCAAAGTGAGGAAAATGAACACATGTTCATTTGTGTGCAAGGATGGTGAACTTGAGGTCAGGGCCAGGAGAGCAAAAAGCAGAAGCTGACAAAGGGAATGCAGTCACCGCATTGCCACATCAGGTGTTTCCAATGAGGACAAAACAACCGTTATTTTCCTCCTGGGAAGTTTCAGTCGGCCAGAGAACAAAAATCCAAATGCCTTCATCAGCAGAGTTTACGCCTAAGTTCTTGCTAACCTCTGAGAACAGAAGCTCAATATTACAGCGAGCTCCCTAGTTTGTGGTTTTGTGGTTGTTTCTATCTAATTAGACACGTAATTTCATTTCGCAGTCTTGATTAAAAGTCATTTTTTTCCCCCTAGAAACCACATCTCTGAGTGCTTCTGCTGCACCATGGAGGGCACTGAGGTGGCTCCTCCGAGATTAACCCAAAAATCATCTCCAGCATCATTGCTGGGTTCCAATTAACCCAGAGCTTCTTTGATCTCCTCAGTCCTTAATGTTTACTTCATAACAATTTGAAGGCAAGGAGAGGGCAGGGTTAGGAACTCTGTTTAGGCTGGGCAATGTAGCGGTGCTCCCCGCAAAAGTACTAATTAACCATGAAATTGTACACACCACCCTATTAGCAACAAGTCCCTTAACATCCCCATTCACTGGGAATAATTGCCTCATTTCTCAGGGCTGCCTCTATGTCCCAGGAAAAAGCCAACTCTATTAATCACCTAAAGCAGAATAAGTGATTTTCAGCTTATGTTTTAATAATGTGTGCCCAGCTCCAGTCTGTGTAAGCAGGGGTTGGCTCTGCTCCACACTTGTGGATTACAGTTCTGCCTGTTGCCAGACTACCTTCTCCCACCAGGGCCCAGGTAGCTCAGGAGGCTGAGTCATTTAGATGAGTATGTTTCCTGCTGGGGAGCTGTCTTTGATGATGAACTCAAGTTTGGTATTTTCAGTCATTGAAGGTGAGACTTCAGTGAGCTTAACAAAGATTAATTAGTTTTGAGAATGAGCAGCTAATTAGTTTCAAGGCAATCATTTGTTCTGATGCTCAGAGAACATGGTACTGAGCCATGGAGAAGTCCTGCAACCTCTGGTGTGGCCACTGCCTGACTAGAGAGAGCTGGGGGAGCGCATGTGGCCTTTTTGCTGCCCTGCAGACCTAGGTGGTATCCCCACTTGACTGCTTGCTAACCGTTTGATCTCTCTGAGTCTCTGTCTTTTTTTTTTTTTTTTTTTTGAAATGGGCTTAAAAATTTGTGGCATTATTGTTGGGATTCAAAGCACTTACAGATGTAAAGAGATTGCACATAAGTGATCAAAAGTTGTGAGTTTTGTAGGGATAATTGTCCAGAGATGAGCAACTGGTATTTCCTTTTTTGATAGTTTCACTTGTCAAGATAACAATCCCTTCTTCCTCTGGTGGGATGGGGAGATGAATCCAGGTGTCAAGGTGAATCTAGGGTTAACTGTTATATCCAATCTTTATTAGACCAACTCATGGGGGGCAATAAACTTTGGGAGGAGAATGAAGAGAGAAATTTGTAATTGTCTACCTGATGTGATCATGCTGACTATTAACCTGGAACTCAGCCACAGGCCACTAAGATCTAGGTGAAATTGATATAGGGCAGGCAAGCCCCAAGTGGGGCTTAGCTCATGAAGGTTCCTGGATTTGCCCAGGAAAGAATTCAAGGGCGAGCTGGTGGTAGGGTAGAAGAAAACAGCTTTATGGAAGCAGCAGTGTTGCAGCTCTGGTGGTGGTGCAGCTCAGTGACTGCTCCTGCAAAGTAGGGTGCTCCACAGGCAGTGTGCTGAGATTAGCAGCTCAGAGCAGTTCGGGAGTCATATTCACACCTACTTTTAATTACTTGTAGGTTCGGGGGCGGTTTATGCAGAAATTTCTAGGGGAAGGGTAGTAACTTCTGGGTCTTCAGGTCATTGCCATGGAAAGGGGCAATAACTCCTGGGTGTTGCCATGGCAATGGTAAACTGACATGGCACAACGGTGGGTGTGTCTTATGAAAAGCATGCTTCTGCCCCATCCCTGTTTTAGCTAGTCCTCAATTTGGTCCGGTGTCTGAGCCCTGACTCCAGAGTTGAGTCCCACCTCCTACTTCAAAATCACCTGAAAATCCCCTGCTCAAGTCCATGGCCAGTGGAAGTCCAAAGCTCACTCAGAGATCTCCCCAAGAGTTTGTAAACCACTGGCATCCTTTCTCTCTAAACTACGGTTTCAGCCAGTGCAGCCTCTGTCTTGCACCACACCTTTCCCAATGTGAACCTTAGTCCTCCTCTGTTTCCAACCATAACAACGGCCTTCACACCAATGACCAGTCATTATGACAATTGGTCATGAAGATTGATAGATGTTCCTTAAGATTTGCTGGATGGAGTATTCAGAGACAGTCAACCACCACTCGGTGCCTCGCCTTCCTTCCACCATCTCACTCTCTCACTCTCTCTCCCCACTCTCTCTCCATCTCTTTTGCTTATCTTCATCCTCCCAGAGGGTCTCAGGAGCCCCATATGCTTCTCTTGTATTATATAAGCCACATTCCTCTCCTCTGAAGCTTTGGAGCCAGGCTACCCTGAGGACTGACGTGACTCGTCTGTTGTTGCCCTAAGTGTCTCTTCCTAAGGAAAATCGCAGTCTCGCTTGTCAAAATAATTTCCCCTACCATATTACTCTGTTGATCGACACATTGTATGTCCATTTTGCTCTACAGTACTGCTCCAGCATGTGTAGATGTGGTCACCCAGTGCTTCGAGACCTCGGTCCAAAAAGCCACTGCAGTGGTTGCAAGTGAAGATTTCCGAAGCAGAGTCAGGGTTTGAATTCCAACTCTGCCATTAATAGTTGCATAACCCTGGGCAAATAACCTAATCTCCCCATGCCTCAGTTTCCTCATGTGAAACTGGAAGCAATAACAGAATCTACCACAATGTGTTATTGTGTGGATTGAATGAGTTAATACAAATCAAGAGTATTGACTCTTGACAACACTTGCTACATACTCTTTGCATATGAACAATTTCCCCTAAATTGCAGGCTGCGCCGGAGCAAGGATTTGTGGTCCTTGCATCCCAGTGTCAAGAGGAGGGCCTGGTACATAGTAGTTGCCAATAAACATCTGAGGAATGAATATGCAATGAGTTTGTGTGATTCTGCCTGGCACTGACTCAGGGCCCTGGGATGCTCTTGCGCTCCACCAAGGCTCCTTGCTACAGCATCCAGTTCGGCAGTCTACACAGAATGTACTTTTGGCCTGTATGAGATAACCTGCAAAACGAGCCACCAAGTTCTACCCAAGAACAAAGGGTATTGCTTCTCCTCTAGCAGAGAAAAGTGTGATTTCTGCAAGGTCCCCCGAAGCCTGGAAATCACTCATGTTGCTCTCTTCCCCTGCCACATACTATGGTTGCACATCTCTAAGAGTTGGGGATTCCATGGGGGACCCTGTAACGGCACCTCTGTGATATGATAAATAGATGTGCCTCTTTTGAGTAAGGTTTTTAGGGGAGGTGAGGTCTCAGGACCCTGGGAAAACCAGGTGGGCTATAATTCACCCTCGGTGGACATGCAGATGAGAGGGTAGCTTTTATGAATGCCTAATTCTTCTTTACTAAGCAAATCGGGTATCTTCTGTTGATCAGCAATGTCCCAGTTCTAGCACTGCAGAAAGACCAGCAAAAAGACCAGCAATTAAAATGTAACCGAGGTAAAGTCACTCACTAGCATGTCAAAAGCCATTAAGCCAATGCTGGTTTATAAGTTTATGTGCTATGATTAGCAAGCAAGTAGGGAAACGAAGCAGGTCTTTACCTAGAATTTTAAAAATAAACAATGCAATGAAATGCCATTAGCCACTTCACCCCTTCATTCAGCAAACATTTATATGGCACTTATTATGTGCTTGCCACTTGCTAGACTCTGGGGATGGAGTTTAACACAGTGTAGTTCATTTCCTGACCTTGAAAACCCTGCTATCTTGAGCAGTGTTTCTGTGTGGGGGCTTGGTAAAATATCTGACATTTCTTTAGTGGACTATTGAAAACAGATGTAAAACTGGTATTATATAATAATCTGTAACTCACTTTCTTACTATTGAGCACATGTAGGTAATGTTTATTAAGTCTTTCAATGATCATGTTAAAAGAGCTTCATTTTCATTTTCTATTGGCATGCATTAATCATCACTAAAATTTGAAATCTCACATGCTCATATCGCTTGGGGATAATTCACCTTGTAGGTAAAGATCCAGTTATTTAAAGTTCTAGAAAATGCAAGTTTTTGTAGATTTGTGAGATTCAGTGTAAGGGCTGACATTTGGGAAACAAATGGAGGATGTGAGAAGAAACTGTATTTGTTAAAGTGTTCAAAAATCCTGTAGTTGGATTATTTATGATGCATTGTACAGTTCCGGAGCGGTTTTATTGAATTCAATTGAGCTGTGAATTTGCCAGAGATCAGATTGAAGCTCTGGCTGGATGCAGAGCCAAGGTAGGTCACCTATAGCCTGCAGCCTGCCCACCTGTGCCCTTTCCTGCTCCTCCAGGCCCCAGCCTGCCAGTAATGAGGGCAAGGATCACCAGGCTGCCAGCAACAGGCCCGCAGGAGAGCTGCAGGCTCAGGCCTGCAGGATGCACTCCCAGGGGAGGACTGCCTTGGGCTCCCTGGCTTCCTCCAGGTGCAGCTCCATGCCCCTGGCTGTCAGGAAGGTCTGCCTTATGTCAGTCTAATTCCATCGAGGTATAGAGGGAGCTCTTTTCCAGTGTCTTGTCCCCAGATTCTTGATAGCCTTCTTCTGAGGGGTCTGGCAAGATGGAGGACAAGGGCTGGTAGAGAGGAGAGTTCCGGGAGAAAGTCCCTGGCTGGTTGCCTGTGATGAGGGGCTTGGGGCTTGGGAGAATGTTCCCCAGTTGGGGATTTCAGGTATATCTTTGTGTGTACGAAGGTATGTAACTCCACTCTCTGATGTCTAATAAAATAGACACTTTCTTTTTTTTTGGAAACTCAGTCTTGCTCTGTCACCCAGGCTGGATTGCAGTGGAGTGATTGATCTCGGCTCGCTGCTGCCTTGACCTCACTGGCTCAAGGGATCCTTCCACCTCAGCCTCCCGAGTAGCTGGGAATACAGGCACACACCACCATGCCCAGCTAATTTTTACTTTTTTGTAGAGATGGGGTCTTACTATGTTGCCCTGGCTGATCTTGAACTCCTGGGCTCAAGTGATGCTATTGCCCCAGCCTCCGAAAGCACGAGGATTGCAAGTGTAAGCCACTGTGCCCAGGCTAGAATAAACATCTTGATGGCTTCTCAGAAAGTTTTTTCTCTGTGTTGGCATCTTGGGCTTTCTATGATGTTTAGAGGTAAAGATGAAGATGCTCTGAGTACAGCTTGGCCATTCAAGCAAGGGCAGGGCCACCACCTCCTCCTGGCAAGTCCCCTAGTTCCTGTGGAGTTCTTTGGTGCATCCTGTAGGTCTTGAGTTTGCTGTTAGCCTACAGTTTGGGTGTTACAATACCCCCTGCTATTTCCAGGCCCCCATGCTCCAGAAGCTTCTTGGACCACTGAGCTTCCAGTTGATGCCCACAGAGCCCCTGCTCTCCCCTTGGTCCTGGGACTCTGCTCAGGTAGGGCTTTATCTCTCCTGGTGAAGCCCCTCTTCCTGGTATCCCTTTCCTCCAGGTACTGTGGCCCACACTGTGCACCCAGAGGCTTCCCTGACTCTCATGGAGCCTCCCAGTCTTCAGCATCCTCTTGGGCTGTGAGCCTGGAGTCTGTGGGGCCAGAGGCGTGAGTATCAGGCCAGGCTGACTTCTCTCAGCTGAGGAGAGACCCCAGGGACACAGAAAAACCTCCTGTCTGTCCCAGGGGGGATTGCGAAAGCCATCTTTCTGGAAGGAAGGTGGCTTTAAGGACTGGATGAACTTCTTTAGAGAATTTGGCTGAAGCCCTCATAAGGCCCCTCTGGAGACCCTCCCAGTTTCCCCCTTGCATGGCGAGGGCTGTCTGAGGAGCTGGTGGACCTGTTCCTCTTTCAGCTTGGTGGTTGGGAAAGGGCTGCCACTAAGCAAGAGGGTTGGCTTTGATTGGTCCCCTTAAATAAATCCCCAGGTTAAAGCTGGCAGCAAGATAGGAAGGTTCACCTACCCAGGTGGGAGGCCTGACAGGGTCCTCAGTAGCAGGCAGCGTGAGGCCAGATATCCATGGTAAGGGACATGTGAACATCCTGGGTGAAAAGTGGTGGAAATTGTCAGGGCTCCAGCAGGCAGCTCTACACTCACGCTCCTCCTTTCAGATGACAAAGCTGATAATCTTGGGGTTTACATAGTGACTCTTGGGTCACAGACTTGATGTTAGTGTTCTGTCTCACACATTGTAATAGCTCTGAGTGACACAACAGATTTTACAGATTAGGAAACCGAGGCTTGATGGTCAGGGGACCTGTCCTGGGTTATCTAGCTAGAATGATGGGGTACTGGGCTTTGAACCCAGGAAGAGTGACTCCCAAGCCTGTACTCAGGATACTCAGGCTGCTCCAGGTGCATCCCCTGACTGGCCCCACTATGGAAAGCAATCCATCGGCACCTGCAAGCCCCCTCTTTTCAGGTCTCTACCCAATACACAGCACTGGCCAGGGAGGTTTCTAAATAAGGTCAGCTTTCTTGTGGATCATGGAACAGGATGTGGCTAATGCACTTGCAGCTCAAACATGCTTGCATTTCTCCCTAAGCCCTTGGAGGCAGTAATGGTGCAAGCAGATGCACATTTTGCTCTGTTGTTGTGGTGTTTGCAAGACTTCACGCCTTCCAGGAGGCCTCACTAGGGCTCAAGGGCCTGCCCAACCACTCACACCCTGGGTTGGTTTGCAGGAAACAGATGTCAGCAGACCTGCCTTAATAATGGCTGGACCAAGGAGCTCTGGGAGGTCTCCGTGTGGATGAATAGGTGGAGTGAAGTGGTTAGCACCAACACAAATGGACAGCCACATCTTGCATGACACATGTAAGCAAGTGTGAGAGAGAGGCTGAGTGGGAAAGAGGACAAGTATCAGGAACTGCGCAGGAGAGGAGAGGCAGAAGGAGGCAGAGCCCAGAGAGAGCCAAGTTGTGCAGCTGCACCTGAATTCTACCATTGTGGAGACAGCCCCACCTTGGGCTGCTGAGCACTTGGATCTTGTTGCCCAGAGACCAACTTTAAAAAAAAATTGACACATAATAATTGTACATATTTTGGGGGTACCGTGTGATGTTTTAACACTTGCATACATTGTGTAATTATCAGATCGGGGTAATTAGCATATCCATCACCTTAAACATTGGTCATTTCTTTGTTGTGGGAACATTCAAAATTCTCTCTTTTAATTATTTGAAATATACAATACACTATTGTTAGCTATAGTCACCCTACTTTGCAATGGATCAGAAGAATTTATTCCTCCTATCTAACATAACAAACGTTAACAATGTACTCATTGGCCAACCTCTCCCCATTTCCCCCTTGCCCTTTTCTCCTCAGTCTCTGGTAACCACAATTCTACTCTCAACTTCTATGAGATGGGCTTTTTTTTTTTTTTTTTTTTAAGATATGAGTGAGATCATGTAGTATTTGGCTTTCTGTGCCTGGCTAATTCCCTTAACGTAATGACTCATCCATGTTGTCACAAATGACAAATTTCATCATTTTTTATGGCTGAATAGTATTCTGTTTTATGTATAACACATTTTCTTTATCTGTTCATCCATTGATGGGCACTAAGTTTATCTTGACTATTGTGAATAGCACTGCAATAAACGTGGGAGTGCAGGCATCTCTTCAACATACTGATTTTATTTCCTTTGGATATATACCCTGTAGTTGGATTGCTGGGTCATACAGTAGATCTATTTTTAAGTTTTTGAGGAAACTGCATACTGTTTTTCATGATGACTATACTCATTTACATTCCCATGAACAGTGTATAAGGATTCCCATTTCCAGAGACCATCTTAACTCTGCTTTTTCAGGCCCCACAACAGTGGATGCCCTACCTGAAATGCGGCAGGCACTCAGTGCTTCTCAGATTGCATCCCGTTCTGTGGAGAAAAGACTCAGACCTCTCCTCCAGGGGCTTCTGATCCACAGGGGGAGAGTGACAAGTTGACAGATAATTACCACTCCATGTGCTAGTCTTTTCCTGTCACACAAGTTCTGGCTTCCAAGGGCTAATTATTTATACCTGACTCTTCTGTGAGTTCTGCACTAATTCAGAAGCATACATACAAGTGAGATAGAGAGAAACGTCTCTATTTTATTGGTGGATTAAAGACCTGTTTTGGAGCTGAGACCAAAAATGGATTTTCCACTATTTCCCGACAAATGCATTGCTTAGGACCTACGCGTTGAGACAGTTGGTCTGTAGATCTGATCCTTGTTTGGTCAACTGCTGGGGGATCCCAGCCTGGGCCTCAGCTCGCCCTTCTACTCACTCTTGCTGGCCACCACTAGAGTTAGGTGAGCCAGTGGCTGTCAAACTCTTCCCTTCTCACCAAGCAGGTAAAACCTTTCTCTTCCCAAGGAGAGAAGCTTGTGAAAGGTGAAGAAAAGGACAACAGCTTTTTAAAAATACATTTAAGGGGTAAAATTTCTTAATTAAAATCTGAGATAAAACATGGGGAAAGGGAGCAAGTGGTCCCTCATAATGATTCATTAACATGGGCTAGAAAAACTCAGAAAGGGGTTTTGAAGGGTGAAGAGGAGCTGTTCCAGGTAGTCCAATAGGTACCAAAAGGGAATTTTAAGTGGAACTATTTATTCACAGAGTGGTGAATTGACATGAGCTGTGTCATGAACTCCAGAACTTCCAAGGTTGAGGGTGGAGGAATAGGGGAAAATGACCATAGAGAGGTTAGGAGTGAGGAATGACAAGGTCCTATTTGCATTCTGATTCTCTTTCTAGTTGAGCATATGAGGGAAGGAAGGGAAGTGGGGAGATGAAAGAAAAGTGGTTAGCTAGGAGACAATGGAATAGTCTTGGCAGATGTTCAAGACCTAAAGGAAAGAAGTGGTGGTAGGGATATACCGTAGAGGTGGAAGAGAATAGGGGTGGATTTCTGACCTGCTTGGAAAGCGAAATTGGCTGGGCTTGTTTGTTGCTTGGTTTGCTCACCACAAGAATAACGTTGGCTTGGACTAGGGCTTGGAGTTACAGATTTAGCCTGTTGAAGAGAAGGGTAGGGGCTGTTGTGAGATGACTCCCCTACTTCAAGAACTAGGAAATCAGAAATAAGACCATCTTCTGCAAGTCATCACTTTAGCCAACACACAATAGATCCTCACAGACATGCACAAAGTTACGTTAAAGAGAAGTGACACAATGGGATATTTAGAAGGACTGAGAAGTGGAAGTAGAGGTTTGTCTGCCCAGAAGAAAAGACAAAGGAATTTCAGAGGCCAATGTTGGCCATGTGTGTCTGAACACAGTGCAAAGGGGCCTGGAGCTTGATCCCTGGACTTCCAGGGTATGGTTTCACTGGCAGTGCCATCACCTGTTTAGGGCACAGCACCTGAAAGCTAATGGGCTTTGAGGCTCATGAGCAAACATGGCAGCTCTGCACATGATTGTACATTTGGCTAAGTCCCCTTGTCCCATTAGTCACCTCTTGCTTCTGATTCAGCAGCCCAAGAGCTGTACCTCCAAGAAAAGACTGTAGCATGTCCAGTGGATGCAAGATTTCAATCTGAGTCTCAGATTTAGCTGGTGTTTGTAATCGTACCTGGCTTGTAGCTGTTCATGGGAGCCAATCATATGCATCTCTTCCAATGGTGTATCACTTGGAGACATTACACTGATAGCTTGAAACTGGCCACGGTGGGAGTATCAGTGTGCTGGGGCTACCATATCAAAGCACCACAGACCAGGAGGCTTAAACAACAGAATTTATTGTCTCACAGTTCTGGAGGCTAGGAGTTCAAAATCCAGGTGTTGGCAGGGTTGGTTTCTCCTGAGGCCTCTCTCCTTAGATTGTACATGTTATCTTCTCCCTATGTCTTCATGCGATCTTCCTTATGAGTGTCTGTGTCCTAATCTCCTTTTCTTATAAGGACACCAGTCATATTGGATTAGGGCCCACCTTAATGACCTTATTTTAACTTAACCACCTCTTTAAAGATCCTATCTCCATATACAGTTTCATTCCAAAGTACTGAGGATTAGGCCTTTAACGTATGAATTTTGGGGGGACACATTCAGCCCATACAATGGCAGTATTTATAGCATGGAAACCAGCAAATGCACAACTCAGGGCTTCCCACGCCCACCCGAGAGCTGGATGTTAAACATTTACCAACACACCATTGACTATAGCTCTCACTGCCACCCCACTCATTTTTTTTTGGTGTATGCATCCATTTCTTTGAACTTGGTTATTCCTCAAAGATAAACAGTTTCTGAGTTTCTGAACTAACAAGGCTAATACTAGGCCTGTCCCTGGGGAAAGGGATGTCTCTGTAGTGCATCTTAGCCCCAACCTCAAGGCTTCCTAAGACAATAACCTCTTGAACCTTCTAAGGGAAGCACATCTTAGAATAATAGTAGCAATTTTTATTGATTTCTTCCTATGGAACAGACCCTGGTCTAAACACTTTGCATAAAGTAGCACATCAGTCCTCACAGTAACTCTGCAAGGTGGGTATTATTATTACTATATCCTTTTCTGGATGAGAAACTTGCCTGACACCACACAGCTGCTAGATGGCAGTGAGGATTCCAAGCTTGCATGTTCTTGATCATCAGGCTCCCTGCTTTTTGAGGCCCGGATGTTCCCTTATTTCATACCACCTCAAGTAACAAAGTGTGATTAACTCTTTCCAAAGCCAGATCTTGGTCCTTGACAGCCTTGGTTCCCCTTTCTGGAAAAGAAGCACATCTTTGCAAGTACCTTTGTTGCTCAAAGCTTGGACGGCAGGTTCGATGATATTTCTAGCTACCTCGAGCCCCATTTTCCGTTCCAGAAAGTGGTATCAAAAGGGCACCTTTAGAACTCACTCTGATTGCATAAGTACCTTGAATAACACATCTGTAATTTGTGACATATATTCTCTAAGCAAAATATAGTGAGCCATGCTTCAGGGAACACACTGTGCTGTTGTACTAATTAATTTGTCAAGTTATGGCTAATTATAAAATGCTTTGTTGCTTATTTTGATTTGTAATGTAGCCTACATTGTTTTAACCACTAATGGGAAGTGGCAGAGTGTGGGGGACTGGAGTGTTCCCTCCAGGCTGCAGAAGCCGTGGGCTGGTGTCTGGGTTACCTGGGTCACAAGTGTGTGTTTCAGTCGATCCTCATCTGCTCTGTAAGGCTGGAAGTCCCCGTCCACTCCTTTTTCACCAAGTGGGCGGTGGAGAGCCTTCCTGCTTATCAGCTGGTGGACACTCTCACCGTGCTGCAGTGAGAAGGTCTCACAAGGTGGCACTGAAGCCTTTTGTTTCTGAGCCCTTCAGGGACAGGGAGGCAGGACAGGGCCACAGGAGGGTATCCTGGCCCTCTGGAGAAATCAGTTCTGTACCTCTGGCTGGTCCTTCTTGGGGCTGGAGGTGACAGGCTCGAGGTGAACAGGGGAACGGCGATGTGGTCACAGTGCCTGCGGCTGCGTTCCAAAACTTCTCAGATGGCAGCATTCCTTGGGAAATCTGCCAGGGTGCAGGGTTGGGCATTTGGACTGATAGCCTCAAAGCTCGATTTTGTCAGGACATTTAGAAGGACTTCCTTTCCAGGGACAAACCCACAGCAACCAGCCAAGAAAACCCATGTGTGACCCAAGGCCAGAAATCCCAGGACAGCATCTGATGGCCTCATGGAGAGTCTGCCCAGCCCAAGGCGGACTGTCTTAGAGTGGTAATGTCCCTTGTCGTAGCCACCCAGTACCAGTCTGCCCAGGGCTTAGCAGGCTAGGCCTGGGGTCCTACACACCTTTCCCCCAACTGCATTGCATGAGTTCTGTGACTTCTGTTTCTCTGGGCTTCCTTCTCCATATACCAGGCTGATCACCTGCCTTCCCTTTTTCCTAACTGATTGTAATGCATTTGGCGATGTGCCCTCACAGCCCTGCCTTTTGAAGACACGCCCAGGTCCACTTGAGGTGGGCTGCAGGGGGCTCTCAAAAGCTTTCGCCTGAGCCTCCCATTCCAAGTGTTTGATGGTGCCAGTGTGCTGATATTTCCCCATATTTTACCACCCCTATTTTATTCTCTTAAAGCACCTGCTATTTTCACTGGGCCTGTGTATCTCACCTTATATCTATTTATTATTATTTATAGATTTATGTTCCATATTATGTTATATTATAAACATATTTATTTATTTACTTTAATGCTCATTATCTGTCTCCCTCCTGGACTATGCTGTTTTGTTCACCAAAGCACACCTAGTGCCTAGCCCAGGGCCTGGCACCAGTGGTCACCAATAAAATATTTATTCAATGTACAAAAAGTCCTGCATTGAGAGGGGACTCTGGGAACCCTTCATAGACCTGCTCTGTGCTGCCAGCCTGCTTTGACTCTGGACACAGTGGATGGTGCTTGTGTGGCCAGTGCCTCCTCTGTTGGGACCTGTGAGCACATGTCTGGAGCTGGATCTTGCACAGCACACTCTCTACCATCCATGCTTTCATAGTCAAGAGGGCACTTGATGAAATTAAAAGGCTGCAAATTTAAAATAGACACCCTTTTTTGGCAACATATTATTAATCAACCTTTGGAACTCAATCCTTCAGGATATTGAGTCAAATAATTCAGCACGACTAAGGAAGAGATTAGAAAGCTCTACGAATAAGAATAACATCTGTTAGCATGGAGCTTCCCTTTCCAGAGAAATCCACCCCTGAACTGTTAGGTAAAGTCTCAGCCCCAGCTATGATGAAGGGATAACAGGCCTATTAGAACTGATTAGGTAAAATCAAGGCCGCTAGTGAGAGGGTGGTTATAGACACTGACCAGGGAGAGAGATCTTGTCCCAAAGACAGCCCAGTCCCAAAAACCTCCTTTCCAAATGACTGTGCTCCCTGGAGCCTAGATCCTAGATTTAGTAAGTCCCCAGTGATTCCATGTACCTGTATACTTATCCATCCACCCACCATCCATCCATCCAACCATCTATCCATCCATCCATCCATCCATCCATCCATCCATCCATCCATCCATCCATCCACCAATCCATTGATCTATCCATTCATCCATCCATCCACCAACCCATTGATCTGTCCATTCATTGCATCCATTCATCAGTAGGTCCATCCATCCATCATACATCTGTTCATCCAGGCACAATCTGAGGAAAAGATAGACAAGGCCCTTATTTTCAGAAACTCTCACACGCCAATGAGGCAGGCCAAAGAGGAAACAGATCATTGTAATTGTAATCACATGATAAAATGATTACAGGGGACATCCTAGATGCCAGGGGAGCCCAGGGAAGGCCCCTTACCAGGAAGCAAAGCCTCAACTGGTTCCCGGGAAGCAGTGTGGTATTGCGGAAAGAATGTTTGCTTTGGAACTAGTCAGAAATGGATTTGAATTCTTGCTCTATCACTTACAATCTGAGTGACTATGGGCAACTGCTTGGAGCCTTCATTTTCCTCCCCTCTAAAATGGAGACAGCTAAACCCACCAGGCTTCTGGAAAGATTCAGTGAGGTGATCTCTGTGCAGGGCCTGACAGAATGCCTGCCATTAGCAGCTGGTGGGTAAATTTTGGTGTCTTTCCCTCCATTTGCCTTCTTTGGTTACTTTTGAAAATGAAATACAGATCTTGTTTAAAAATATTTATATATTTGATATTCTGCACACACATACTCACACACACACATGGAATTTAACACTCTCAATTCAGCATTAAATTTCTCCCTTTTTCTGGGCAACTCACAAGGACATCTGTTACCTCGATGCCATTAGCTACGTTAGCACATCTATAAGTACCTCATTAAAAAAATCGAATATTAACAACATAGCGGGAGCTGTAGGCTTTCCATTTGATTACTCTGAAGGGTAAGTTTACTTAAAATAAGCTAATTTATAATTCTGAAGTTGTAAATTTGAATAACATTGTCCCCTGAAGACTTTTTTCAATGAATCCAAGTGTAGACACAGAATCCTCAGTTTCCATAGGGGCAGCCCCAGGGTCAATGGGGATGAGGTGACACAGGGTGACACCCTCTGATTGGCATCCTTCTTTTTCCTTAACTCAGGGGGAATGCAGCCAGCATGTTTAACACTGGAGCTGGTTGGTGGGAATTGGGCACTTGTTGCTGTGGTAGGAGTGGTTACCATTTCCATCTTGTTAGGACCCCTAGTGAGCCACTGGTTCTGTGGGTGTGATGGGAGAGAGAGCTGACATTCTTGCTGGCCTGGAGCCCTGTCCAGCCTGGAGGCCCAGTGGCCAACTGAGAGGGCTCCGGGTGGCCCATCTTCCTGGGACTATGGGGAGGACACAGAGGTTCCTTTCTGTCTGGATGTTCCTTGGGGCTGTCTTATAGTCCACACTTCTGCAGGCAAGACTGCTGCCCCCCTGCAAGGGCTTCAGGTGGTCTCCCTGCAGAGTTTGATTGTATTTTTGAAAGTGAAGTCCACTTCTTATCTCATCTACACCTAATTCCCAGCCTTCTCCAACTCTTGTTTTCTTCCCACCCCTTGGATGACCCAGAGACTGAAGCATCATTCATCCTCATGGGCTTCCATGACCAGCTGTTCTAGCTCCTCTCTCCCTCTGAGGAGCGTACCAAGCCGGGCAGCAAGTGCTCATGGGCTCTTAATAGAAATGTTTGATGATGATAATTAGATCATGGGCAATTTGTTACCATAACATTTACTTTTCACATTTTTCTTGGAAATTACATCTGTCTCCAGCTCTTCTGCTTGACTCAGGACAGTGATTTCAATTTTTGCAAAGAATGTGGCCCAAAGAGGCAATTCGTTACTGAAGAAAGAGCAAAGGCCACAAAGCTGGGTGGGCCAGGCTTCTATTCCAGCTTCTCTGTCTTCTAGCTGTTTGAATCTTGGAAAGCTTAAGTTTCTGGGCTTGAATTTTCATGTTTGCAAAATTTCTTCTCCCTCCCTCTCACAGATATTTATTTATTTATTTATTTATATTTATTTTTTAAATTGGATCCTGATTTATTCTTTAAAAACCTGATAGAAATGACATTTTTGAGATAATCAGGGAAATTTGAATACTGAATGGGTATTAGCTGGTATCAAGGAGGTACTCTTTTTTTTTTTTTTTTTTTAAGTATTTATTGATCATTCTTGGGTGTTTCTCGGAGAGGGGGATTTGGCAGGGTCATAGGGCAATAGTGGAGGGAAGGTCAGCAGATAAACATGTGAACAAGGGTCTCTGGTTTTCCTAGGCAGAGGACCCTGCGGCCTTCCGCAGTGTTTGTGTCCCTGGGTATTTGAGATTAGGGAGTGGTGATGACTCTTAAGGAGCATGCTGCCTTGAAGCATCTGTTTAACAAAGCACATCTTGCACCGCCCTTAATCCATTTAACCCTGAATGGACACAGCACATGTTTCAGAGAGCAAGGGGTTGGGGGTAAGGTTATAGATTAACAGCATCCCAAGGCAGAAGAATTTTTCTTAGTACAGAACAAAATGGAGTCTCCCATGTCTACTTCTTTCTACACAGATACAGCAACAATCTGATTTCTCTTTCCTTTCCCCACACTTCCCCCCCTTACACTCGACAAAACTGCCATCGTCATCATGGCCCGTTCTCAATGAGCTGCTGGGTACACCTCCCAGATGGGGTGGCAGCTGGGCAGAGGGGCCCCCCACCTCCCAGACGGGGTGGCCGGGCAGAGGCGCCCCCCACCTCCAGGACAGGGTGGCTGCCGGGCGGGGGCTGCCCCCCCACCTCCCTCCCTCTCACAGATATTTAATGAGCACCTATTACATGCCATTCAGAGAGAGATGGCCACAAGCCAGACTAAGCCCCCTTTGTCATGGAGCCTACATTGCAGTGAAGTGGGACAGGTAACAACCAGATAACCACATAGATATAAATATGGTGAAGATGAGTAAGGGGAAAAGATGGGGTGAGGGTCATATTACAGAAAGGTGGGGAGGGGAGAGAAGGCCCCTCTGACATGGGGGCATTTGAGAGGCCTGAAGGTGGTGACAGAGTGAACCAATGGGACGTAGGGGAAGAACATTTAGGCAGAGGGAACAGCCAGTGCAAAGACTCTGAGCAGGGGTGTATTTGCCATATGCAAGAAACACCTCAGCAACAGGTCAGGTAGGGCTTTGTGGGACTTTGTAAAGAAATTACAAAAGTACAAAGAAATGTACTTTAAGATGGAAGCTGTTAGAGAGTTTTGAGCAGAGCTGCTGTGAAGAACAGACCATGGTGGGAGAAGGGAAAGGAAGGAGGCCTTTGAGAACACTGTGGAAGCAACCCAGGCAAGAGGTGGTAGGGGCTTTGATGAGGGGGGGCAGAGGTGGAAAACCTAAACAGTGGTCAGGTTCTGGATGCATTTTGCTTTTTTGTTATTTTTGTTATTTTAGATTCAAAGGGTACATGTGCAGCTTTGTTATGTGGGTATATTTCATCATGTTGAGGTTTGGGCGTCTAATGATCCTGTCACCTAAGTAGTGAACATAGTACCCCATAGGTAGTTTTTCAACCCTTGACCCTCCTCCTGCCCCCCCTTTTGAAGTCCACAGTGTTTATTGTTCCCATCTTTATTTCCATGTGTACTCAACATTTAGTTCCCCCTTGCAAGTGAGAACATGCCATATTTGGTTTTCTGTTTTTGCATCAGTTTGCTTAGAATAATGGCCTCCAGCTGCATCCATGTTGCTGCAAAGGATATGATTTTGTGCTTTTGTATGGCTGCACGGTATTACCTAGTGTATATGTACCATATTTTCTTTATATTTTGGATTTTTTTTCCATTTAGGAGTGGAGGTTTAATAGGCAGAAGAAAAGAGAAAGAGAAACAGCTCTCTCTGTGGAAACGAAGGTCTCCAAGCGGAAAGGACCAGCTGGTGGCAAATGTGCCAGATTTTATAGGCGGGTTTGAGGAGGCAGTGTCTGATTTACATAGGGCTCACAGATTGGTTTGATCAGGTATGATGTTTACATAGTGCACGCAGAAGGCACCATCTTGTTTGCTCCTTACTGTACACGTGGCTGGCAAAGAGAAGGAAGATGGAGCCACCATCTTGAACATGTCTAGTCCTTAGTTCCTGCTGGCATTCACCTGTGCAAGCTCCCAGCTTGCTTGTCTATGTCTGCAGCCTGACTTTACAGGCTGCTCTTTGTTAGAAAATGATTTGGAGCTGCCTTTCATTCAAAAGGAAAGCCTTACTGAGGACTCCCATACCCTTACTATCTGCCTAAATGATTTCTTCTTAACTCCTATATCATTCCCCACTCTGGAGTGGTAACCCTAACTGCTGTTAGGGAGTGTTGGATGATGACTCTTTCTGGCTACTTACTGCTGAAAAGGGGCATCATGTGCAGAATAGCAGCTAGGGCTCCTCCTGGGGTTGATCTAAGGGTCCCTGGAAGAAGGCATGCCCATGCATGGTTCTATCTGCAGCACCATTTGGAGTTTGATTGCTGTCAACCATTCTGATGGGTAGTAACACTGTTTTGCCTCCACCAGATGTAGCTGAAACGTTAATATACAAGTAACATTCCTTTTAGGATAAATGGTATTGGATTTGGGTAGTTAGAGAAACTTTATTGTTAACCTTTGGGGAATCTTTCCTGCAATTATTAATCCCTTCGTGACTTCCACAGACCATCTAAGACATGCTTAAACCTTCTGTCTTGTCCTAAATATCCTTGTTTTAAACCAACCGTTCTCTTTAGGAAAAGCATTTACCATACAAGATCCTTTCTTATATAAAATCTCTTTCCTTTATAACCTTCTTTACATAGCCAGGGTGTGATATACTACCAAAACCAAAAAGAAGTTCTAGTAGACTCAGTGATAGTAAAACTTTCATGCTTCCTTTTTGTTGGTAACTATTATCCCTTCTTTAAAGAGAAGAATTAAGCAAAATTCTACAGCAATGGAAATTCTCTGTCCAATATTTCAGTTAGAAGGTGCTACCATGTATAGCTCTACTGCAAATAGTAGAGTAAGTATAGCAATTCCTGCAAGGGTAACATAGTAGATTATTTCCCTCTAAAATTTTACTTGCCAAGATATAGAATTTCCCTCTGGGGGTCTATGAAGTTCCTTGGTTTTATTTTCCCAAACAAAGAAACCTCTGGGTTATGGACACCCTACTCACTTTCATTACCTGGCAGAATTTGCAGGTTAATTGCCCAGAACTAGCATATTGATCCAGATTTCTATGTTACCCATCCCTTTTTGTTTTTTTCAAGCTTCAGAAGATCACCACTAGATTCACAAGAATAAGCAAGGTTAGTCTAAATATAGGCAAAAAGCTTAAAAATAATTAATGTGACTAGGATTTAATGACAAATGTATGATAAGCTTTGGAGTATAATTTCTCTCTCCAGTCCTCATTTTTGGTAAAAACAAATTATGATGGGACATGTTGTTCATAGAATAAACTTTAGTCTTATACTTGGCGTGATTATTTGCATAAAGTACAAGAATGATTATTAGGCCTTTTGGATTGGCTTTGATGGAACTCTGTTCCACAAGGAATCTCAGATAAGACCTCTTAAAGGTGAGCTCAGACATGGGTTCATATTCTCAAATACCTGTGAGTTGGGTGATCCTCTCCTAGATTTTGGATGTATTTTGAAGGCAGATTGACAGAATCTTCTTAGAGCTTGGATGTGAGTCTTCAGAGAAGAGTCAAGGACAGTGCCATCACTTTTGGCCTGAGTTATAAGAATGGTGAGACCATTTGCTACAATGACAAGGAGGACAGAGGAGTGGGTTTTGGGGGGAAGTGGAAACCAGTGTGTTTTTGGAAATGTTAAATTTGAGAAATCCAATTAGAAGCTTGAAGGAGGCAGCTGGATCTACTATGCTGGAGATGAGAGGAGAGGCTGGAGCTGCAGGTACACCTGGGGACTCACCAGCACACAGACACTGTGGATAGCCATAGTATAGCATTAGAGGGATGCTTAAGGGAGGAGAAGGGATCTGGGGACTGGCATCAGAAGGGTTGCTGTAAGGGCTAAGTGGGGAGCATAAAGCAATCAGCTTTCTTGCCTCCCATCCTTCAGAATTCATGGGACATTTCTTACCTTTAGATTTTACAATTTGGAAGTCTACTAGAAGAGCTGGGACTTTTTTTTTAAGTATAAATATTTTGCTCATGATGACACAATTTTTATTTAGTTACAAACCTGTCATTTGAGATGAAAATGGCCCTTTCCCAGAGTCCCTCCTACCAGGTGGCTTTTCAGAGAGAAGGGTGGATACTCCAGTGCCCTGGGCACTGGCTAAGAGGTATGCTGAGGGGAGCCCTGGCTGTCCTGAGCAAGTCATCTCTGGTAAAGACTGAGCATCACATGCTCCCCCCTTCTCTAGGTTTGAGCCCAGCTATTCCATGTGAATCTGCACATGAATATTTAAAGATTCCAATATCTAAAGATAGTTCTCATCATTTCTAGAGCATTCCAGGGCAGATAACAGATACCTGTTTTGTTGTAGGAAGACCAGGGCCAGTTCACTTCGGTGGACTGACTCACCTGAAGTCAGACAGTAAATCGGTCCATACCAGTGACCCTGGCTTCTAATCCCATGGCCTGGGACCTTAATTCCATAGCCTTGATGAGTATATAAAATTCCATAACCTTCCCAGAATGAAAGGGGTAGAGTTGCCCCCAAACAGCATACAAAGATGGAAGCTTTGATTACTTGCACAGCTGCTGTAGTGCACAGTTTGGTGGGGCAGCACACATATGCAGTGGGAGCAGGCTAGGGTGGCTCCTTGCTCATAATTATTTGTCAAGGAAGTATTGGGTGGAGATGCAGGAGGCAGCTTTAGAGCCACACACACCTGGTGGGTGAATGGCATCTCAGCGTCTTGTGAGATGTGTAATTTGAGAAGAGTCCCCTCACATCTTTGAGCCGAATTTTCTCATCCATACATCACGGGGTATTAACTCTTACCTCCAGGAGTGGTTAGAAGGATTAGTCAGATGATGTACATAAAGGAGCCAGCACACAGCCTGGTACAAACCCAGTGTTCATCAATGTTTATTCTCTTGTCTATATACAGCCAATGAGAAATTCATGATGGTAATAGGTACAGGTTAATGATGAGCAGTTTCTGTAATGACTGTTGTGATAATGTGAGTGTTGATTTTATGCCAATAAATCAATTAGGAAACCTGAGCTGAGGAAACAAGATGTCTGATGTGTAGGCAAAACAAAGGCAAACAATGTATGTGACTGGAAGCCGTCAGCTGTGGCTTTTCCTGAAGGAAACTTGGTCTCAAATGGACCTTGGGAGAAGCAGCTGCAGACTCCCTAAGCAGGATATGATGATCTGAGTTCAGGAATATAACACCTGAAAAACTGGAACTAAAGCTGTCTCAGCCACTAAAATCAGATAAGGGTTTCATAGCAGCACTGTTCACAACAGCCAAAAAATGGAAGCAATTCAAATATTTGTCAACTGCTCAATGGATAAATAGAATGTGGCATATCCATACAATGAAATAGTATTTAGCCGTGAGAAGGAATGCAGTTCTGACACATGTTACAGCTTGGATAAAACTTGAACACATTATTCTAAGTGAAAGAAACCAGGCAAAAAAGGACTACTATCCCATGACTGCATTAATATGAAATGTCCAGAACAGGCAAATCCATGGAGACAGAGAGCAATGAGTGGTTGCAGGGGCTGCGGAGAAAGAAAAATGGAGAGTGACTGCTAATGGATATAAGATTGTCCTTTGGGGGTGATAAAAATATTCCAGAACTAGACACAGTTGATGTATTAAATGCTGTGGCATCTTATACTTTAAATGATTAAAATTGTGGATTTTATGTCATGTATATTTTCCCACAATTAGAAAATAATCAGATAGAGAAGTCTGGGATTTTACTCCAGGAGACCCTCAAGACAGGCTGCTCCTTCTGAGTGGAGCTCTTTGTCCTGCCTCCCATGGCCCCACTGTGAGCCAGACTTAGCCCAGCATGCTTTAGACAGGTTGTTTCTTTGTCTCCACGCAGCTGTGAGAGTGGTGCTCTCCTACTTTACAGGCCAGGAACAGAGGCTGAGAGCATGTCATGCATTTTCTCCAGTCCCAGGCCAGCATGTGCTGAACTGGGATTCACACCCCACACGTCTCCACATGAGGGCTGGACCTGCCACCATAAGCACCAGTCTCTGGTCATCCAGCATAGCCACTGTTGTTTATTGAGCATTTACTATGTGCTGGCTCCAGGGTAGGTCTGGGTTGCTTCTCACCAGTTAGGTTCAGTTCTGGGTCCCCTATGCTGAGTACAGTGTCTGGCAAAGAGTAGAAGCTGAGTGTGTGTTTGTTAAGTACATATTAGGTTTTTGTCACTGACATAGTTGACTTGGTTGTAGATGGCAAACTGTATCGAAGGAATGGCTTTCTCTTTGACAGCCAGCACCAGTGGAGATTTCAACAAAAGCGAGCCTGAGTCCTAGCTTCTCTGAAGTAAAGCTGCTTGAAACCCTCATCCTCCGTTCCTCTGAAACTTGACAGCCACAGCTCATCAAGCAGTTGAAAATCATTTATATGTTCAGAAATGGACAATTCAGTATTGTAAATTTTGAAAATTAACAAACTGTTAAAGGATCACTGTGCACTTGAAGTTGTGGCAGAAAGCAAGCATTTCTGCGCTTGTAAGAGCAATATGTATGCGTGTGTGTTTCAGATATTACTCATCAAATACAAGCATATGTTTATAACTCTCCATCTATATGCAAATAGTTTGTGGTGTGGCGCTTATATCCCAAACAAATAGTGTGAAACGTATATAAATTATGCAATAATATAGATGTTGCACATATGTTAGTTGGAGCGAATTATCATCAAAACTCTGGGATTGGATGGGTTTGTGTTGTGCATGTTAGCAACACCCCCTTGGGCCTTGAGGGCAGTGCCAGTGAAGGTCTTGCTGTAGGAACAAGCCAGAGGGTGGTGTGGCCTTGGAAAGTGGCTGCTCCCCTGCCCCAGGGCACAGAAGGACTATACCCTGAGGCACAGAGCTTAGAGGCAGGTTCCTCAGAACAGAGGTGTGTTTTTCAATTTTGCAGGCTCAAAATTCAATTTTACTGGAGTTCTAGGGGAGTGATTGGGCCAGAGGCATTATTCCAGGTCCCAAAACTGGGTTGATTATCTATTCACAGGGAGAAGCCCCACTGTCCAGGCTGAAGTCTCACACTGGCTGAGCTGCATGATATCCGCTTGTATACACAGTGCAGGGCACAGATATCAGGTTCTGCTCCAGGTTCAAAGTTCAGCCCTGCCACTTACTATATGTATGACACCTGAAGGAAACATCCACCCTCTCTGAGTCTGTTTTCTTATTTGTAAACCGAGGAGATAATGGCTCCTGTTCTGGGGTTGTGGTTGGGGTAGAAAGGACAGCATTTGGAAAGCACGTGGTACATAGAATGTGCTCCCAATTGGTGGAACCCCTTGATTGTGACTACTATCGTAGGAAAGCTACAAGGGGGAAGCCAATTCTAATAAGGCTGCTTGTGATCACTAGGAAGTGAGGAGTCAAGTGAGTCAAGTTACTCTTGTTGGAATCACTCGTATTCAAGGCCTGGTCTCTGCACTTGAGCTGCATAGTTTTGATAGCAGGACAATGCTTCAGAAACGAGCAAACCACCATAACCACTACATTTACATGCATTATATTACCTAGTGCTCCCAAAAGGAAGACTTGGTACTGTTACTATTCGTGGTCTGCAGCTCAGCCAGGGGAAGCCATGTGTCCGGGTCACAGAGCTGGTGAGAGGGGGCCAGGATTTGAGTCCAGCCTCTGTGGACTGACTTCTCCATCAGGGCTGCTTTCTCGCAAACTATTCTGGCCACATGGGGACATGTTGCTGCATTTTGAGCCTCTCTTATCACATGATTCCTGTTTAAAGCAGTTTCAAACCATGTGTGTGGTTGGGAGACTAACATTGGGACTGACACTGCAAACTCCTCAGGCTAGCTTTCCTGGAATTAGCCTGGTATAAAGACTCCTGGGGCCCAGATGACATCCTAGGATGACTGGCCTCATCTTATCTACTCTGTGGATGTTTTCCCTGTTTGGGTGTTTTCTTGGCAGATAGGGGTGGGGATACCCACCCACTGTTTCCCTGGGCTAGGGGCAGGCAGACCCTTGCATGCTGGACCAGAAGTGAGTGATGGGGCAGGAAACCACTAGGGGCAGGGAGGAGAGGCTCTGCCCAGCCGGCTAACTGTGAGGCTGCTGGGAAGCAGAGTTGTGGACAGAAGCAAGTCTGGGTTGCAGCCAGCCAGAGAGGTGGGGCTCAGAACAAGGGAAACTAACTTTTGGGGGGAGCCCTCACCTGGCTCAGATCTGCTCATCTTATGGAGCCCCGGCACCATCCACGTCATGGTGAGGCTCCTCGCAGTGACTTTGCATGGATCACTGTGTACCATTTAGAGCGTCTCACAAGAAAATTTAGCCAAGCTTATTTTAGGCCAATTGAAGTTGTAGGCATGCTGCCTAGGGAAAAAATAGATCTTTTCTCACTTGATGTGTGACAGATGAGAGCGACAGAGAGGCCCCTGCACTCTATCCTACACACCGTGATTGCTGCCTGGGGAACTGGGGGCTGGCTACCTTATTATCTTGCTTCTTATCATCACTTCTGAGGTGTTTAAATGGGTCGTTTGCACCAGACGGCTGGGTGATAGCGGAAGAAGAATGGGAAAGAGGAAATAAGCAAGTTATTTTGCGGATGCTAACCAGGTCTGGCTGTCTCTGCATACTCATTTGTAAACTGGATGATCTCATCCCGGACTGCCCATTCCAACCCTGGTCATGGCTCATGGGGCCCTTGACTAGGGAAATCTGACAGCTCTTATTCCATCCTCAGCAACTGGAGACATAAGTGGCTGGCCTTGGTTCAGAGGCACTGTAGAGGAGAGAATGAAGAGGAAGAAGAGGAAGGCATTAATTTAACATAATTAATGAGTACTCACTCATGGCCTAGGCATACAGACATGGCTGTGATGATGATTATTATTTTTGTATACTTATCTGTTTATTTGCTGCAGCCTAAGTGAGACATGGTGAGGCCCTTGTCATGTGTAGTGCCGGGACAGGAAGGGAACTTACTTGATTCATCTGAAGGGAATAGATGCAATTGAACTTAGAGAGGTAGGAGACCAATGAGATATAAGGCGGAGTCTGGGAGGAGGCCTGGGTTCTTTCGTGTGTGGCTGTGTAAATCATACATGATTCAGGGAGCACAAGAAGTCAGGAAGAAGAATGTGTTTGGTCAGGGGGAGGTGGTGAGTCTGGCCTTGGGCATGCTGGGTGTGTAGTGTTGGTGCGGTTTATGTGTGCAGGTATTGTCAGCAAGCAGTGGGTAATAAAGAAATGGTGTTCAAGAGAGGGGTCTGGACAGGGACCTGGAGAAGCAGTGGGTGTGGAGCAGGTTGCTGAGAGAAGGTTTAGAGGGAAAACTGGACTGAGGGACTGAGCCAGTGGAGACGGGATGGGCAAAGACAGCAGGAGTTCAAGAGCACCCTTTGAAAGTGGGATCAGATTAGTACTTAGCTTGTGGGGTTGTGAGAGTTCAACGAGGTAAGGGCTTACAGTGAAGCACAGGACACAGTGAGCCCGCAGGCCATATTGGTTGCTGGTGTGGATTGCAGTGATGACTGTTATTCTGCCTTGATTAGTTTTCTCAGTCTTTCTTGGGACATACATTTCACCTTCGGACTAGGTCAGATCTTAGTGTGGAAAGGGGCAGGGTCTCTCTACTGCATCCCTCCGCAGGGCCTCTATTTCTCCAAGCTGGGAACCCCTGAGGACAGAGTGGCAGGTGGCAGCGTGAGGAGTTACAGGGACCTCCAAGCACCCTGGGCTGGGGTTTGGAGGCTGGGAGAGCTGCAGTCGCTCTGCCCAGGAGGCAGTGATTACAATATCCTGTGGCCCCCCAACATATGACCCTTGTTTGGGTGCTGGTCTCTCAAGAATCTTGCAGGTCTTAAAAAAGGAATTTTTTTAATCTTTTTTTTTTTTTTTGAGATGGAGTCTCGCTCTGTCACCCAGGCTGGAGTGCAGTGGTGCGATCTTGGCTCACTGCAACCTCCACCTCCTGGGTTCAAGCAATTCTTCGACCTCAGCCTCCAGAGTAGCTGGGCTTACAGGCGCCTGCCACCATGCCTGGCTAATTTTTGTATTTTTAGTAGAGATGAGGTTTCACCATGTTGGCCAGGCTGGTCTCGAACTCCTGACCTTGGGTGATCTACCCTCCTCGGCCTCCCAAAGTGCTTGGATTACAGGTGTGAGCCACTGCACCTGGCCAAAAAAGGAATTTTTGACACCATCCATTCCCCAGTAGATTAGTGGCCTTGAGCTAGCCTCTCACAGAGACCTCGGGGAAAAAAAAGAGCGTCAGAACTGCCCTGTGTTTTTTTTTCATCCTTTAACTGACTTTGGGGTTTGGGGCTAATGACCCTTATGGGCAGGAGGCAGCATGGCTGACCAGGGGACCTCCCTGGCCTCACCCTGTGGCCCTGCACTGTCCTACGCAGGAGCCACCAGACACAGGTGGCCATTGAGGGCTTAAAATGGGGCCGGTGCTACTGAGCACCTAAATTTTAATAATATGGAATTGAAATTAGTTTAAATTTAAAAACTGACACTTGATTCAAGTATTAGAAAAAATTTTAAGTATGTTTGGAACAACTTGATTATGTGACTCTTCTAAAGATACATTTTATAAAATATAAAATCAGATCAAGTATTTCTGATGAAAATTTAGCGTTTAGATTAAGATATGCTGTAAATGTACAATACACACTGGTTTAGAAGACTGTATGAATGTAAAGTGTCTTATTAATAGTTTTTATATTGATTACATGTTGAAATGATAATATTTTAGACATATTGGGCTAAGTAAAATGTGGTATTAATCGGTTTCTTTTTACCCTTTTATAGTGGATGCTAGACAATTTTAAATTGAATATGCAGCTTGCATTCTACTTCTTTTAGATGCGGCTGCTCTAGACAGCCCGGGACCCAGGCTGCAGCTCACCCTCAGCTGACTAAGAGCTAGTAAGCCCTTTGCAGACACACCTGAGGGTGAAGCTCTCCAAATCTTCTGGGGAGGGTCTAGCGTAGCCTGTGGTCTGAGAAGCCGATGGCTCCAGGGTTCACTTACAGAATATACTACGCAGGTGAATGGGAAAATTTTGCAGGTTTAAACCAGACATCAACCTGAATATAAACTATGGACCTGGGGTGAAAATGATGTGTCAGTGTAGGCTCATCAGTTGTAACAAACATGGTACTGAGGCATGGGATGGTAATAATGTGGAGATCATGCATGTGTGGGGGCTGAGGGGATATAGAAATCTTTGTCTTTTCTGTTTAGTTTTGCTGTGGACCTAATACTGCTTTTAAAAATGAAGTCCTTTTAAAAAACAAAAAGCCTCAAGCAGAAGAAAAGAGTAAGAAAAACAATTAATGAAACAAACAAACAAAAACCCTAAACAGACATCTCAGGGTGTCATCAATATCTTTTTCTGGGGGAAAGAAATCTGTTCAATTAATCCCTACTCATCAGGGGCGGTGTCTGCTGATCAGATCAGATCACAGCATTGTTGAGCACATTATAGTATTATAATAAAAGGCTCAGCTGGAGGGAGGAGACACCTGTTCGCCAAGGAGTCTCTCCTGAGATTCTTACCAGGAAACCCAGAGAAGCCCAGATAGGGAGTTAATGCCTTTTAAAAATTTGCTTGGCTTCCATTTGGGAGATTAAGGCCTTAAATCACACCTGCAATTGCAAGTGGATTCCTCCCAAGCTTTGATGATGGTCTTTGCATTGTAGAGTGGCTCTCAGACACTTTTATCGTCCTCCCAGGCAGGCAGGCAGGCAGGCAGGCAGGTCAGGTTGAATTAACCACATATGAGAATCAGAAAAGACAAAAACGCCTTGCAAAGTGGTCTCCAAGAGTTCTGGGGGGCTGCTAATATTCTGTTTTCTCATCTCTGTGTGTTCATTTATGAAAATTCACTAGTCTTAGGGTTTTTGTACTTTTCTATATGTCTATTATAACTTCAGTAAACATAGTTTAACAAAAGGCTCCAGAGTCAGCTGTCACTGTCATCAAACCCACAAGGAACCAGGAAGATGCTGCTCCCAGAAGGGCTTCCCTTCTCCCCAGGGAGGCCTTATCCTGTGGGGCCTGCCTGTCCTGTGGGCTTTGGATGCTGGAGGCCTGTAGTGCTGGCTGACCTCAGATGATGCTTTAGGATTTTGCAAATGGTAGAAATGGAGCTAATGATGAATTACAAGGCACTTTCCACTCTCCCCACTCCATCTGTTACTTCCTCTGACCTACAGTCACCTCCACACTCTTGACTCCATTTTAATAGGCAGGAAATTGAGGCTTAGAGAAGCCAAGGTCACTGAGCAAATAAGCAGTAAAGGTTGGAACTCAGTTCAGCCTGATTCCCCTGAGCCCACAGGCTGTGCTGGGGCTGTGCCCATATGCACACAAGGGCCCACAGGCTGGAGCTGCATGGGCGAGTGTCGACTCCTGCACATCCAGCATGGATGGCTCAGTCGGTCAGCGCCAGGAACCATCCTGTCAGTCACACAGAATCTAGGCAGCCGGCTCTGCTTCTGCTCCTCTCCTGTGCCAGGCTCCATCCTTGCTCCTGCCTGGCACTTTGCAAATGTGTGAAGGTCCCACTCTGTTATCTAAAGGAAACTGATTTTTCCCTCACATTGGAACAAGTTTGCTCATAAGTGGATGTGCACTGTCTCACCTTGGCCAGGGCACTGCCAGCCCTCTGAGGGGAGTGTGCAGAATGCTAAACGTGCTTGTTGACATTACACCTGAGACATGTTTGTGTTATAAATGGGTACAAATTGAATTTGGCTTAGGTGATATATGACGTCTGTCATGGTTTTCCCCATGGTAAGTCAGTTAGAGGAGAGCTAATTTATTTCAGATTGGGCATTCCAAGCTTTCATTGTGCCTAGCATGGCCATATTTCCCTCTGCAATCACTAGGATGAAGCTGGCAATGTACCAGGGCTGCCAGTGAGCTGGCTGCTGCCATCAGTGTGCTCCTCGAACCACCCTGGCCCTGGGTATACATGCTGAGGATGCCTCGTGGCCTTGGCCAAATAGATTTTTGCCTTCTTTTGGCCCATGAAGACCTGGCTTGGAGCCAGACCTCTGTTTGAATCCTGACCTGCCACTATTAGCTATCACACTAGCTGTGTGGCTCAAAGCAAGTCACACACCTTCTCTGAACCTCAGCTTCTTAATCTGTGAAAGACAGAGATGCCAACTTCCACCCAGTGGAGTTCTGGGAGGATTAAATGGACAATCTGCAAAGGGCCTAGCATGCATGTGAATTGCTTTTCCTCAACTGTGAATTGAGAACACAGATTCCACCTGTGTTCCTGGCTGGCCAGGGTGTGGTTGGAATGGAGGGGGGTCATGGGCAGGAAAGGGGAAATGCCCCATGCCCCGAAGCCCTCCAGTCCCCAGGAGCCCTCTCCCTGATGGGGGCACTATGGACATCCTGATGAGAGCAGGTGGCTGAGGCATTATGCGGTTTGTAGAGAGGTTCCCAGGGGAGCACCACCATACCAAGGGGGCACATGCCTGTGCAGAGCACAGCTGGGGTGGAGGGGGCAGCTGTGTGAGGACAAGCATTGTCAGCGCTGGGGATGCGGGTGTGCAGGGGTCCATAGGCCCTTCTGTGGTGCAGATGCCAAACTGGTCTGGTTGTGTTTCTGAGTGGGCTTTGAGGCAGCTGCTAGGCCTCTAGTTCAAGCTGCCTATCTCTTTTCCTCTGTACTTTTATAGGAGAGGGAAGGCTTCACCTTGATCAAAGGCACCATCTTGTCCTATAAGAGGCACTGGGTCCTGGGTTGTAAGCACAGTCCAGAATCCAGTGTTAGGTGTCCTGACTGTGCCTTCTGATTTGGAGCTGCAAACTCCTCAGCCCACATTGTCAGTATCTTTTGGAGAAGGCCCATCATGGATGGAATTTGCATCCTCTCTTGAAGTTACCCAAGTGCAGAAAAATATTTGGTTGCATCATGAGAAAAAAGAAGACAATATTGTATGGGTGGTGTTAAAACCCTGAGTCTGTGGTAACTGTTGAAACACATGGCAGCCTCCTGCCACACAGCCTTTGGTGGGGCAGGGAGATGGAGCTGGAAGGCGGGGCTGATCCTCTCAACCACAGGCCAGAGCTCCCCGAGCAGCAAGTCTTTGTCTGTGGCCCCAGCATTCTGGCTGGCTGTTTAGGGCTGGTAGTCTCCAGAGGCACTCACAGGAGGTTTGGAAGAAACAGCTCTGGAAGGCGTGGGCACCTGCAGTCACGTGCATGTAACAAAGCCAGCTGTTTGCTCTTGGCCTCGGAGCTGCAATCAAGAACCTAGGACTTGTTGGAGTGAGAGACAGGTTGTCATGCTGTGTGAGAACACTGCATGTGTAACTCGAGTTCCCCCAGACATTTTGGCATGGGCTGCCGTCTGTCTTGTAGCATTTGCTACATAAGCCTGTCTTATCTCCCCTGACAGGGTTATGGGAGGCCAGAGAGCCAGTCTGCTTTCCTCACACCTGCTACAGGCACTTACAGAATTCTGACCAAGCTGGGCAATTTTGGTGTGTTTCAGGGAGAGCTTTCTGATGCCAGGGTTTGGTTGTGGCTCATGGCATGAAGGAGCTCATCAGAAGTCTGTGTGCTCATGAAGGAGCTCATCAGAAGGCTGCGGTGCATGGCCCAGGGCCGGATCACCCCTCCACTGGAACAGAGGCGAGCAGACTGCCCTGTTGGATGTGAACTGTTGCTCCATATCGTTCTCTTTTTCCTAGAGCTGTGGGACAAGTACAGCACCTTGCAGCTGGGTGTGAAGTGCCTGGGAGAGTGGGTGTGAAGTGCCTGGGAGAGTCTGTGTGAGGAGGAGGGACGTGGCACAGGAAATCTGCGGTGAGGCAGCTGTAGCACTGAGTCTGGGCATGGTCTGTTGGGCTCAGAGATGGGGCAAGTGCCTCCACACACGTGAGCACTAAGGGATAGGCCAACCTCCTCTCTTTCCCTCCTTTGCAAGGCCCAGGCTGGACCTGCATCCTCTCCCAAATCTTCCTTCTCTTTCCTACTTGGAATCCCCACACCTGCTTTTCTACCTGCAACATGCTCAGAACTACTAATCATTCACAATCATCAGGGAGAGCTACTTTGATTCACACAAATAACTCAAGGGTGGAAGGACACTTGTGTTGTCAGCTGGATACTGTGGCCCTCTGGATTGAATGTCTGCCAGCCATACCTGCCCCTTGTCCTGGAGACACCAGGGCCAATACAGCCAAATGGGCTATGACATTGAACCATGACCCAGTTGTGCCTGCTCAAGGGTTTTGGGGAAGGTGGCTGGAGAACCCCTGCTTCTGCAAATAAGGCTGGAGCAACAGGCAGCCTGGTGCGTAGTTCTGTCTCCGCATGCTGATGGCTGCAATTCTGTAGCAAAAGTCAGCACTTACTGGGGTGGGGTCAGTGCTTACTAAAATATAACATGAGACCCTGTAGTCCAGCCTTCTTTGACAATTCAAATTCTGAGCACTTGCTGTGTGCCTGGTCACACTGCCCAGAGAAGCAGAGAAAGAAGATGGAGAATAAGGACAGGTTATACATGTCTCTTGATACTTACCCATGTGCCCGGAATTCTATTTTCAGTTGTTATTCCCATAGGTAAAATGAGGGAATTGAACCTTGGAGAGATTTGAGTTATTGTCTCAAACAAATGTTTTATCACACATAGCAAGTAAGTGGTTGGGGTCAAATTGGAAACCAGGAATACTTAGCAGCAGGTCCAATACTTTGTGTCTGTAACCTTTGATCTCTGTAGTTACATGTGTGTAACTTCTTCCTGGGATTTCAGACTATTTCTGCTTCAGGGCCTAGCAGATGATTGGCACACAACAGCACTCAGTAAAAGTTCATTGAACGAATGACTTAGGCCATGCTAGACTCAAGACCAATGCCTCCTCTTATCAGAGCACCCTCATTCTGTGGATGCTGAGTGTGAGAGATAATACCCCTGACTCTAAAGTCCAGGGTCCCTCAACCATGTGGTTCTGGCCACCCAGCTGCTCACCATTTGCGGGGAGATGGAATAATACACATAAAAGAGGGTGCTGGGTTTAGAAATGGGAGGCAGAGATCTGAGAGAGCAATTGTGGTATAAGACTATTTTTTAGAGCCATTGAAAATAAAATATCACAGAAGCAGGAAAGATGTGAAATGGAGAAAAGAAAGACTAAGTTCCTTCATTCATTGTATATTCCACTAATATTTATGGAGGACTACTTTGTGCTAGACGCTGTTCTCGGCTGCTGGGGGATAGGAGTGAAGAAGACAGAAAAAGTCTACCCAATTTAGAGAGAATTCATAGAAATTAACTCTTACTCATAACTCTCACTTACATGGTTACACATGAAGAAGGCTTGCTTCACTTGATTCCTTAGCAAACATTTGCCGCCCTACACTCTAGGGATTCAGAAAGAGAGATTGCTGCTACTCTTATAAGAGATGGTGCTCTTACCATCCTGGCTAACACGGTGAAACCCCGTCTCTACTAAAAATACAAAAAATTAGCCAGGCGTGGTGGTGGGCACCTGTAGTCCCAGATACTTGGGAGGCTGAGGCAGGAGAATGGCAAGAACCCAGGAGGCAGAGCTTGCAGTGAACTGAGATCGCGCCACTGCACTCCAGCCTGGGCAACAGAGCGAGACTCTGTTTCAAAAAAAAAAAAAAAAAAGATGGTGCTCTTTGGGGTCAGTCTGACTATTTAACTCAGCCTCTTGTTTACTTCCTACCACTCTTCTGAGACTTTGGTCCCTGGATAACTGTCTTCCTCACCAGCCCAAGTCCAGACATAATGCTCGGTAACTTCCCTGTCTATGTGGCAACCCCTCAACACATTTCCTTGACCTCCTGATTTCCAGTGACCCACTCCTCCACTGTCCCTCAGCTTCCTACTTCCACAGCCCCATCATGGTCCTTAGCATCATCTGAAATGACTCCAGCTCCTGCTTTCTGGCCACATCTGTAATAATATCTGTAATAATTTCCCCTGCCTCACCTTCTGTACTGTCAGGTTCAGATTGCAACGATGAAGTCCGCTCCCACTAACTTAATCAGCTAAAATGACGGATTGTTAAGACACTAGGCAGGTCACAGAGTCAATGGGAAGTCCAGAGAACAAGATTAAGAAAATGAGCAGCAACCAAGGGAGTCTGGGCCCCAGAGCAGTTGGATCCCCTCAGCCACAGTAGGGCTGAGCAGTAGGGCTGTTGCTGAACGTGGCTGCCACTTCCACTCGCCCTGCCACTTCCTCCACAGCTGGACATTGGCTTGCACTAGCATGGTGTCAATATTCTCTTAGAGTGCTTGCATTTTTGTATCAGTTTTCATCATATTTAGAAAGTTGGGTAAGATTATCCTGTTTCCACCTTTTGCCATAGCTGCCAGAGCATTGGGAGAGAAAATATCTAACCCCATTAAGCATCTTTGGTAGGAGGAATGAGCTTTCTAAGAAGACTAAAGCTGTGGTTGAGTTTCTAACCAACTGAAAGGGAGTTTGGTGGCTGGAAAGCCAAAGGAAAGCCAAATGTTCACGACATTATTCCTTTTTGGCTGACTGACACCCGTGTGCGTTTCTTCAACCCATATTTTTGAGCACCTGCTATGGAACTGGCACAGTTCTAGGGGCTGAGGCAGTGAACCAAATATAAAATTCTCTGCTCAGATGAGACTTTGAGGAGATGGACAATAAACAGGATGAATAGGTATATGGTATGTTATGATAAGTGCCACACAACATTACAGGAAAAGGAGCTGTAACATGTTGAGAGGGACTCAATGTTAAATATGGTGGTAAGAGGAAGCTTACTGGGAAGTGGGCATTTGAGCGAAAACTTTATAAAAGGTGAAGAAACAAAGTATCTGAATAACTCAAGAAAGGGTGCTCCTGGCAGAGAGGACAGTAAACATAAAGACCTTAAGTGAGGGCTTGAGTAGATGTGGGGGCTTACATGGAAATGGGGCTCGAATAGAATGTCCTCCAATCAGATAAGAGGCCAGCGTGGCCAGAGTCACATGAACCAGAAGGAGAGTAGTAGGAGATGAAGTCAGAGGGAATAGTGCCCAGCCTGAAAACTTGCTCCTTTTAAGTCTATGACATTCTGGCTAGAAAGTGAGCCATTGACTGAGTGTAATTGTAGTGCTATGGCAGTGCGCTTCTGGATGGCATCTACATACTTGCCGAGTGATCTTTGTGGTATGCCTAAATCTGCTTTTCCCATCCATGCTAAAGGCAGTCCTGATGTGGGCTGAGAGAGAGCCTGCTGTGTGGCCAGAATGTGCAGGCAAGGAGAAGCCTTCTGGTGACTTTCTTGTGGCTCCAGGGCCTGAACAGGCATGACCATGTATATGCCCTTGTACTGGATGATGGAATGCTAATGCATATCCTTAACTTTTTGACTCACTTAGTGAATCTGAAAACATCCAGTCTATGTTGGGTGGCTCAGCCTATGCATTAATATGGTTTCCATTTAGTATGGTTTCCATTATTAGGCATTTCTTCTTTCCTAAGTCTGTTAGAAAGTCAGGAACGGCCCAATTTGAAAAATGAGAATAGCTTCTTGCCAAGTAGGGCATAACTTGGCTCCCAAGCCCTATAAATGTCTGGCATGTTTAACTTGTGTGAGTTCCATACAGCATCCTCACTCAGTGGAGTCATGTTAAATCCTGACTTGTGGGAGCTGAGTGTCAGAGCCTCTGTCCTGTAGCCTGGAAAAAGTAGAGAGCTTACCCTTTATCTGGGCCCCATTAAAAGTTGTCAGAATTTCAACTTCTCCAGTGAGTGGATCAGAGCAGCACACCCAAATATGGCATCTGTTGCTTCCAAATCCAGAAAGGCTCACCTAGTGTTGTGCCTCTTTGTGAATAACATGGGATGCAGGGGACAGCATCTTGTTTTTTCTTCTGCAGAGTACATTCTGACAAACCATACAGCACTGAGCTTCCACAAAACTTAACTAAGTTTTGCAGGTTCATACAAGTTATTTTCTACCATATATACACGTATCTTATCAAGGCACTTCATACCTGCTAACTTATGCCCTCTATGTCTGTCTTATCAGCATGATGTCATCAATGTTTTAGACTAGCATGATGTTCTTCTCTTAACTGGTCAGACGGTCAAATTCTTATGGACTGTGTAGCTCAGAGACAGAAAGTTGCTATGGACCTCAGGAAGGATAGTGAAGGTTTATTGCTATAGCTATCTGGAGAAAGTAAACTGCTTCTAGTAATTTTTGTTGTTGTTTGAGATAAAGGGAAAAACATACTGACAGGTCAATAACCATGTACAAGTTGCTAGGGTCTGTATTGATTTGATCCAGTAAGAGACCATATCAGAAACAGCAGATGCAATTGGAGTCACCACTTGATTAAGTTTATGATGATCCACTGTCAATCTATATAACTCATTACTTTTTGTATCTGCCAACTTAGAAAGTTAATATAGGGATGTGAGTGGAATCCTCTGCTTTGTACCTTTCAAATAGTTAATGAGGAAGCAAATTTATCTGATTTCTCTAGGGATGTAGTCATGTTTTTTTGTTGTTATTTTGGTAGGAAGAGGGAAATAGTTTACATTTTGCCCTTTTGGCCTTATTAGCCCTCACTTGATTTTCAGGGAGAGTCAATCGGGAAGTTTATCTTACTGCTGAAGATATCTATTCCAAACAGACACTCGGGAAATTGGAAAACAGCTATTGAATAGGTCTGAGGTCCCACTGGACTGACTAGGGTTGAAACTCTATTTTTCATTTGACCTGCATTAGCCCCTACTCTGACCCATGGGTAGATCCAGATGTCCAGGAATTAGGATTAGTCAAGATCCAGCATTCAATGATACCCCAAAGATCGTGGTATTATTTCCTTTCCTTCAGTGCAAAGGGTTATCCTGATAAATAGTGTCTTAGATCATTCAGGCTGCTATAACAAAATACCATAAATGATTTCGCTTATAAACAATAGTAATTTATTTCTCACAGTTCTGGAGACTGAAGTCCAAGATCAAGGTCCCAGCAGATTCAGCGTCTGCTGAGGGCCTACTTCTTGGTTCATAGAAGGCATTTTGTCATGGAGTTGTCACATGGCAGAAGGGGTAAAAAAGCTCTCAGGAGCCTCTTTTAAAAGAGCCCCAGTCCTATTCTAGCACTTCATGATCCAGTTACCTCCCAAAGGCTCCATCTCTTAATACCATCGCCCTGGAGGTTAGGATTGCAACACCTGAATTTTGGGGGGGACACAAACACTCAGCCCACAGCAAATAGTTTCAGGTCCCTTTAGGGAAAGCTAAGAAGTATTAAGTATTCATGATACTTAATTGTGATGCTTTATGTGAGTTGAGGTCTTCCTGCCTTGTAAAAGGTTCAGGGTCAGGGTCAATTAACCTCTGCCAGCTCTCTCCATGGGTTAGAACATTCTGACGACCCCTCTGGCTCTGCCGATTACCTAGGTGCTAGGTACTTTACTCCTGGTGTTTGTGTGGGTGCTCTGCCCATCTCTGTTGAAATCAGGGCACTAGTTTCAACTGCAGTTGACCAACACTTTACAGCCTGTGGAGACCAGGCACTAACATGTTTTTCCAAAATGCTAGCACTCCCCTCATCTTTGTATTTATCAACACTTGCCGAAGGGAGTGGCTTTTGGGAATGTGGTTATAGGTGAGTAGGGTGAGGTACATCTACTTTATTTATTTATTTATTTTTTGAGGCAGAGTCCCTCTCTGTTGCCCAGGCTGGTGTGCAGTGGTTCAAGCAATTCTCTTGCCTCAGCCTCTTAAGTAGCTGGGATTACAGGTGCCCACCACCACGCCTGGCTAATTTTTGTATTTTTAGTAGAGACTGGGTTTCACCATGTTGGCCAGGCTGGTCTTGAGCTCCTGACCTCAAGCAATCTGCTCGCTTCGGCCTCCCAAAGTGCTGTGATTATAGGCGTAAGCCCTCATGCCCGGCCGACATACATCAACTTTAATATTTTTTTGGTCTTTGGACTGTTTCCTCTACATTATGTCAGAGAAGTTTGGCATCTCAACTTCATTTAGAGTTCATCACTGTTGAGTTTATATTTCTGTTAAATAGCTGAGCAAACAATTAGAACCACTCTCAGCTGCTTGTACTAGGACATTGAATTTAGAATTCTGGCAAGTGCTTCCATATCAGTGAATTTAGTCTGATCTGAAATTACGTTCTTTCCTCCTTGGAATAGTCTTCTCAGAGTCCAGTCCTTTATGTTCAGTTCATACATCGAGCCTCAGATTTAGAGATCTGAGACTTTTTTTTCCTCTTTCCTTCATTTATACAGAGCACTTAAAAGCTGCCATCCTAATCCATGCCATTGTCATTAATCTCTTCATGCTTTTCATAATATTCTTTGGGAGTCGAGCATTACTGTCCCAAAATTTTGCTTTTAATTCATTTTATTCACTAAACAAATATTTAATGAGCATTTATTATTTGCTAGGTATTGTTCCAGGTGTTAGGTATAGCAGATGAAAAAAAATGACAAAAATCTCTGCTTTCATGGAGTTCCCAATCTAGTAGAAAGTTTATTTCAGATGATCACATGTGCTAATTTAGTGAGTTATTTCGTCACTGCAAAAATATTGGCTTCCAGCTCCTCATTTCTGAATCCAAATTAGATTTTCATTATCTTTGCCCTCAATGAGATTAGAATATCAGCCCCAGATTTCTCTCCTTACTTCTTATTGCAATCGGCTATTAAGTAATCCTCACATTTTCATTTTGACCATCTCTATTCTTCATCCAGTGTGAGTTTTTTTCAAAATGCAAAATGTGAAAGTCATCTCCTGCACCTACCCTGTCCTTTAAAGATCCCTATCCCAAACTCCTTTAAAGGTTTCTATAGAATTTAGGGCAAAGACTGGAATCTTGATAGCCTTCATGATTCATCTGCCGCCTAATTTTGCGCATATTTCTTCTGCCTTATTTTTTTCTACACAAACACATACACACACGCCTTCACACCTTCAACTCATTACTTTTTTTTTTTTTTTTGGAGACATAGTCTCTGTTGCCCAGGCTGGAGTACAGTGGCAAGATCTCAGCTCTCTGCAACCTCTTCCTCCCAGGTTCAAGCAACTCTCCTGCCTCAGCCTCTCGAGTAGCTGGGACTACAGGTGCACACCACCACACCTGGCTAATTTTTTTGTATTTTAGTAGAGATGGAGTTTCATCATTGCCCAGGCCTGTCTCCAACTCCTGAGCTCAGGCAATCCATTCTCCTCGGCCTCCCAAAGTGCTAGGATTATAGGAATGAACCACCATACCCGGCCTCATTACTTCCTTTCCATATTCAGAAATCAATTTAAACTTTACTTTCTGGAATCCCAGTCCCACTCCTGCCAACATGGTCTGGTCCCTGGGCACCCTGCCTGCCCTTCATAGCCCTCGCTTTGATTTGTAATCAAACATACAGTATTATGGCCATCTGGTGAAGCAGTTTTCCCTTCCTATGAAGTAGGCCCCAAGAAAATGGGCATGTGTTTGTGTTCGCTGCTATAGCCCCAATGCTCAGCACACTGTCTAGTATGAAGTAGTATTCAATGGATATTTGTCTAATGAATTAATAACATCATGATAGCCATTGTAATGTTTGCTCATTCTCTAAGTGCCAAAATAGGAGTATATACTAAAACTGTTGTCAATTGCATAAGAAGCCCTTCAAGGATTCCAGGGGCAGTCAAGGATGGCTTCCTGGAGGAGAAAGAGTTTGAGCTGAGAAGAGAACTGAGTTTGTCTTTTCATGGGTGTTTGAGAGTTGCCTGGCTATTTTTGCCCTGGATCCTATTCTGTGTCTGATATGCAAACCTGGATGAGGTACCTGATGGTTTAAAGTCACTGTCTGGAGTCAAGGAAGTGGAGAGGTCTCATTTTGTACCAGTCCTTTGGAGATCACTGAGACATGGGTTTTCAGCCTGGTAACTTTCTTGCCTATGTATCTGCTAATGACTATGACCCATCTTTTTGGGTTAGTTCTCCTTTTTCTCCATTCCGGTGTCTGATGCAGAGAATTTAGGAAGTTTACAGACCTCTGCTTAGGTTGGGTTAGGAAAATTCCACATAACATGTTCATGTCCCTGATTCTCCAAAGTTCTTGTAGGAGGGTGAGAAAGCCTTTGCAGGGAAAGAACATAAACAGTGTTGGGAAAACTGAAATCTAATAGCAGCTTTTTCTGCTGTTCCTGCTATAATTACCTTCCTTCTTGGCAATGACTTTACCTCTTCTATCACTGCTGTTTCATTTGTCCAATAAACTCCCGATTATCCATCTTCAACAGCGTGGCCTGGCTTTATCTCAGGCAATTGGTTCCAGCAGATGGATTGATTAGAAGCCATTTCCTTCCCAAATTCTGTTGCTTGATGTTCCTGTTAACTTTTATCATCAGGGCTGTAGAATCCTCTCCTAGCTGCCTGAATTCATGCATAAATAAAACTGGTTGCAGCTAAACCCCCAGCCTCTGCCATTTAAATCCCAATTTATCTCACTGTGGGTTGCTTGGGTAGAAATTTCGTTTGTGGTATTGAGTTGAGAAATGTCAAGAGGGGCTTGCTGTTAAAAAAAAATTCTTCTGCAACAAACACTTACGCTTCTTGCAAGGATGAGATCACAGCATTTGTCTGACCAGGGAAATGGGTGTCCTTTCAAAAAAAATTGTCCACTTTTTTTTTCGGTTATAAGTTGGACCTCAGAATTGGATTATTCATAATCCTTGGTTTGTGACACAATCTCATCATTGCTGTGTGTGGCCAGAGCTCATTAGCATTTTGAATGCTATATAATATTACAATAGGACGCTGTTGTGAATGGTGTCTCCTTTGTAATCCATTCTCCTGTTGATAGGCATTAGACATGATATCAAGATTTTGCTATTGTGAACTGTGTTATTATGAACATTTTTGTGCTGCTTCCTGCTGTACATGTGCAAGAGTTTCTCTTGGAGTGGCGCTGGATCGCTGGGGACATGAATATTTAAATTAAACCAAAAAACTCCCAAATTGATTGTATCAATTTATTCTTCTACCAGCAAAATATGGGAGATGTTCTTGATTTACATACTCTGAAACACATGGAGGTTTCTTAATCTGTGTCCATAAAATGTGTATAAAATGGCATTTTATTGTGTTCTGGATTTGCATTTCTCTGATCACCAAGGAGACTAAAGAACTTAGTTTTATTTTTCACAGGTGTTTCCTTTTCTGTGAGAAGACCATTTGTGTCTTTGCTCATTTTTCTGTTGGGTAGAAGATCCTTTTCTTATTGATTTATAGAAGCTCTTTATATATTATTCATAAATTCATGGTCAATTATAAGTGTTACAACTATTATTTTTCCATTTGTCTTTTTTACTTCCTTGAAGCTTTTCATTGATAAACACAAGTTATTAATTTGGATATTGTAAAATTTATCTACTATTTATTCTATACAGTTTTTTTTTGGTTTGTTTAAGAAATCCTGGGGCTTGATACTGGGTTGGTGGTCTTTGTCCAGAAATATTAAGGGATGAAGAGGGCTATAACCCTCCTTCTGAGGGTTTCCAGGAGGAGTCTGAGGGTCTAGCTTTTCTGGTGAACCCAGTTCCTGTTCCTGCCTTCTTTCCTAAGGCCCTGCTCACTCTGGCTTCCACCACAGTGCCAAGCCCCTCTGGTCTCCAGGGGAGGGATTGCTCTGTTACATAGCAGGATCAGGGGTAATCAGGCCAACAGGGGAGATGGTGGCAATTTTTCTTTTTTAATCTGTATTTATATACAGTCTTATTTCTTTAAGCCCATACACTGTCTCTTACCCCATCTTCCTCTCAGGTGACAATATCAGTGAGTGCCATACAGAATTCTGTATTCACCAGCATCATGAAACGTTTGTGGTCTTTTGAGTTGATCTTGGCAGAGTAAAGGGACATGTCCTGGAGCCATTCTTGAATCTCTCTCCCCTTCTTTGTGACAACTCCCCCTAACCAAAAATAAATAAATAAATAAATAAATAAATAAAAAAACACAAAAAACAAAAAAAACAAAACTGAGGCACTTCACTTAGAAACTGGGGTCCTGCTTATAATCATGCATATAACCTTTACTTTGATGGATCTGGCCAGAGGGGTGTTGGAGCCCAGCCCTCCCACATACCAGACAAGCTCTTAGGGGAGCAGAAGAAAAGCAGGAAGAATTTAAATATTTAATTTTTTTAATTGACTTTTCTAGTTATTAAAAGTTGCTTGTTTCAGCAGTGATATTGTATAAAGAACATCTTGTAAGATACTCCTGACATCTCGCTTTGGCACATGTGCAGTACAGTTTCTATGATAATGTGTTTGCTCTAACTTCCCTGGCTTCTCCCTCAGCCCATCCATTCTCCTGCAGAGCAGTTGGGTTGGAGGCTCATTGAGGCAAGCAGCAATATTGGAGGTGGGGGGGTGCGGAGCGGTGCTGCGACCACTGCCTCCCATGACCCTTCTGACCTCAGACTTGGAACTCAAGAACCTGAGGATTCCAGCGGTCAGTGTCAGTGGGGGGTGGGAGGAGAGAGCGGCAGAGAAGCTCTGAGAGCCCCTTCCCACAACAAATCTAGTTCTAGTTGTTATATTTAGGCAAAACTTTGTAGTCTTCTTTCCCTTTTATGATGGATTTTGATAAAATACAAAACAGCGTTTAATTTTCTTATCACCTTTGAATTTGGAAATTTTGAGCACACAAGCTCTTCTGTACCTATTTAAATTAAAGTCCACCAAGGGGACTGCAGCTCCTAGAACATGAGAATCAAGCCTCTCAATATTAAACTGCGGAGTGTGACCCCTGCTTCCCCCATCCTCCCGCCCAAGGACGACGGGGATTGCTCCAGAGCTGCTGGGTAGTTTACCATCCCTTCTATAGGCATGGAGTTGGCACTGACATCACAGCTTCATAACCCCACCACCGCCAGCTTCCCCTGCCTCCTACATCCAGTCTGTTCTTGTTCATAGTGAGAATCCTGTGTTCCCACTTCAGTGACACCCGAATTGTTTTTTTTTTTTTAATTGTCTTCAAGGAGGAAGGGCCCCATTAAAGGGTGAACTTGTAATAAATTGGAATTTCAAATAAACCTCATGTACTTGTGTTCATAAAGAAAAAAAAAATCCTTTTCTACCCCTAGATCAGAAAGATATTCACCTATGTAAAAGTCCTAAAGTTAGCTTCTGTCATTTAAGTGCTTTTTTTTTTTTAGACGGCGTCTCGCTCTGTCGCCAGGCTGGAGTGCAGTGGCGCAATCTCAGCTCACTGCAACCTCCGCCTCCCGGGTTCAAGCGATTCTCCCACCTCAGCCTGCTGAGTAGCTGGGACTAGAGGTGCCCGCCACCACGCTCAGCTAATTTTGTACTTTTAGTAGAGACGGGGTTTCACCATGTTGACCAGAATGGTCTCGATCTCTTGACCTCATGATCCGCTCACCTCGGCCTCCCAAAGTGCTGGGATTATAGGCATGAGCCACCATGCCCAGCCCTGTCATTTAAGTTCTTAATACAACTACAGCTAATTTTTGTGTTTGGAATGAGTTAGGTTTTGAAATTAACCTTTTTTCCCAAGTGGATAATCATATTTTCTTATCCTATTTATTGAATAGTCCTCATCTGTCTGATGACCTGACCTGCCACTTTGGACATCTAGAACCTTTTTACTTATGAATAATATCTGTTTTAGGACTTTGTATTCTATTCTGCACTAGTACTACCATTGCTTAATTGCTATAGATTCATAATAATTTTTGATATTTGATAAAACAAACCTCTTCACTCTTCCTTCTCAGAAGTGTACTGGCTATTCTTCCATGTAAATTTTAGAATTAGCTTATTAGGGTTCATGAAAATTCTGTCAGAATCTTGAATAGAATTGCATTAAATATACAGATAAGTATGGGAAGAATTTATGTCTACATAAGATTATGTATCCTTATCCACAAGTATGTTATATATCTTCATTTATTTAAGTGTTTCAGAGACCAGATAGGGCCTGTGTTTCAATAGTTCTCTTGCCTGCTGTCAGGCAAATCTTTGTCACTTACCCTTCCATATCATACTGTGAGCTATCCCCCAAAACATTATACATTCTTGTATCTTGTCTGAATTCTATGTCTGCTCTTACTCAAGATAATGGCGATGGTTGTCTGACATCAAGGAGTCTGGATATGTGCTTTGGAGCTATCACTATGACCCCCACCAAAATTTGACCACAGTGTGGGATCCCTTATCTCATCCTGGTGGTTAATTTATCAGTGATTTTTATGAGTGCTTGCTTTCATTTTTTGGTAGTTCAGGTATCCTGTGCTTTGTTATTAGATATTCTAGTTTCACACCCTTGTTCCCCTGCTACCTAATCTACATGATTAACCAGTAGTCTCTCCAACAACATTTACCCTTGCTCATGATCTTTCTCCTTACTCTCTTAGGGGTAGCCTTTTATGAGAGGGCAAAGAGTTTTGCCTTTTTTTTTTCAATTTATTTTACAAGTACTTATTGAATGGAGCTGGCTATTGGGAAGCATTACAAATGTATGCCCTGGGGGAGGGGGTATCACACAGTATAAGATGGGAGCCATCGTGGTTGGCTGGCTGGAACTGTGGGTCAATCATAGAGTCTTCTGCAGGAGAACTGTTCCTTTCAGTGATCCTAGTACCAAAACCGACCAGCTGTCAGGATTCATGGCATCTGTCCACTTGTGTTTGATTGCTAGCAGAGCTGAGGCATGCCCACCATCCAGGTCCTTGCCATATACTTTGGGAGAAAAGATATAGAATTTGAGCCTGAAAATATTTCATTGCTTTCCTGATGTGACGTTGGTAAGTTATTCAGCTCCTCTAAGCCTCAGTCTTACTCCTTATAAAATGGAATCAATGATAGCTTCCTCAGAGTGTGATGTTACAGTAGTTTATGTCTTCTTTGTCCTTCTTGTCTCAAGATTCCAGAAAGGAGAAAGTAGGAACAGTGCAATGAGGTCATTTTTCATCTGTCCATCAGCTGCTGCAATACTGGGCAAGCGCTGGAGGGAGGGGATGCTAGGGTTCTCCAGAGAAACAGAATCAAGTCTGTGTGTGTGTGTGTGTGAGTGTGTGTGTGTAGAAAGAGAGAGAGACAGAGAGAGATAGAGAGATTTTAAGGAATCGGCTCACACAATTACAGAGACTGAAATCTGCAGAGTGAGCCAGCAGGTTGGAGACCCAGGAGAGGGCCAATAATGCAGATGAAGTTTGAAGGCCATCTGCTGCAAAATTCCCTCTTGTTGGGAGAGGCCAGCCTTCTGTTCTATTCATGCCTTCAACTGATTGGATGAGGCCCACTCACATCATGGAGGGCAATCTGCTTTACTCAAAGTCAGAGGATTTAAATATAACCTCATCCCAAAACCATCCATCTCACAGAAACAGCCAGAATGTTTGACCAAGTATCTGGACATTGTGGCCCATCTAAGTTTACATAAAATTAACCATTACAGAGGGACTTTGGGAAGCTCTTTTTGGCAGCATATCTATCTCTTCTTTGATAATTGGGACATTTTTCAAACATGTGTAAACCTCCAGGAGAATTGCAATATTCCTCCATGTCCATTCTGCACATTTCTGCAGAGGCAGGATTACAGAATGAGTAAGATCACAGATGTGGGGTCAGGTGGCCTGGGTTGAACTCTGGCTCTGCCTAGTACGGAACTTAGGCAAGTTACTTACCCTGTCTGTTCCTCAGTTTCCCCATTGGGAAATGAGGGTAAATAGTATACCTCTCTTACAGGGTAGCAGTGAGGATTATCTGTTGATTGGATTCCTGTGCACAGTTTCCTTCTTCCTGTTGCTCTGCTGCAAGACATTGGGGAGTTTCTAATGTTTTGCTGAAATGGGCAGTGCTGTAGTGAACAGTATCCTGTTGCTTTCCTTGTGCCCTATGTATGTGGCACAGGGCAGGCAAGTTGGCAGGTTTCTTAGCTATTGCCAAAGGGATCTCCAAGTTCGTTACACTTTATTTTTCACATCCTGGCAAATATTTGGTTGACACTGTTACACTTTAAAATCTCTGCCTGTAAGATGGGTATAAGTGGTGTCTCCTTATAATGTGCATTTCTCCATTTATAGATGTTTGAATATCTTCTTAGGTACCCATTGGCCATTGGCTTCTAAACCCTTATGGAAAGAGAGCTGCTCTCACATTTGGTGTCTGCTGATGGCAGCCTCCTCGCGTACTTGGGCTGGGTGAATATGGGAAGTACTCATGCACACCTGGGCTCCACGAGTGGCTGCCACATGTCCTGCTGGCTGCTGGTGGCCTTGGCAGCTCTCAGAAGCTGCCTGAGCTCTCAGGAGTCTGGATTAGTTGGGCTTCCCTGATTAGTCACTGAAGTAATATTCTAAATGGGGCACAAGTGCCAGGGAATTAAAAATACTTCTTGTTTTTGAATAAGAAGCTGACATGTTCTTAGGACATCAGGGCTATATCTGGATGAACAGCTGTCAGCTGCCTCATGGGCTCTCCCATCCAGCTGATGTGCCAAGGGCTCCCCGTTCTCCTGGCTCCCTGACTTCCCAAGAGCAAGTCTCATTAGACAAAGTTCAGTGAGGGCAGCTGCCTCCTGGCTCTTCATCATCAACTCTATCCCCATGGCTCAACACGTGCTTGACACATTGTAGGTATGCATTTTCATTTGTTAAATGAATGTGTCAAGTGTCTACAGATGCCCAGGAGGTTCTGGGTTAGTCTGGTTCTGGGCTTCATTGGGTTCAGGAGACAGAAGAAAGGGAAGCCCTTTTTTGCTCTTGTGGGTTTGCTGTTGACTTGTGCAATGAATCAAACTAGCTGGAGGACAGTCATCCCTTGCTCTGCAAGCGGAGTTAGGGCCAACCCTAAGATCTTGCTGTACCTTGAGAACATTTAAGACATTGAATTTTCATCAGTCTTTATGGCTTTCTTCTGTTTATCTTTGTATCCCCAGCACAATACATGAGGTGTGGACATAGTATGTGCACAATGAATATTTACTGATGGAATAAACAAACCAATGGAGGAAGGCACAATGATTCTCATTAACCACGGTTTTGAAATGCCACTTTTGTATCTGTATATTAAAAGGCTTAATTCCACAGTTTTTAAAAAATATGTGCGTAGTTCAACACAGTCCCTTTAAACAAAATAACACAGCAATCACTATGGCTCCTTTCTTTTGTAGGACATGTGGCTGAGTCTGGGGGGTTGTAAGTGGAGAGACATTTGTTTATACTCCTCCCAGGCCCAGTAACCACTGTAATAATTTTGTGAAAAGGCTAGGAGGTTAAACAAGGCATTTTGCTGATACTTAGGAAATGGAGAATGTAAGTGCAAAAAGACATTAAGTTTTACGTCTGTGAGTGCTGGTTTGAAAACTTCATAAAGAGGTGCAGCCTGTATTATAGGAAAACATACAACTCAGGGGCAGCTCTGTTTTTCCAAGCAATTAAAAAAATGCAATTCAGGATAAAGGGAGAAAGGACTGAATGCCAGTGAGCTTTAGAATCAGTTGCTATTAGTACATTAAGCAAATGAATGCCAGCATTCTTGTTTTACCTGTCATTGTCTATTTTCTATGAAATGTCGGTATTTTAGGTTGAATTGTATCACCTCATGGATGTGTTGAAGACTTAACCCCTGGTAACTGTGAATGTGACCTTGTTTGGCAGTAGGGTCTTTGTAGATGCTGTGAGGTTAAAATGAGCTCATGAGGGTGATCCTAATCCAGTATGACTTGTGTTCTCATAAGAAGAGGAAAATTTGAAGACAGACATGCACAAAGAGGAAATGCATGTAATGACACGGACACAGAGAGAGGTGGCCATGTGAAGAGGGAGGCAGAGATTGGAGTTATACTGCCACAGGACAAGGAATGCCTGGGGCTACTAGAAGCTGGAAGAGGCAAGGAAGGATCCTTCCCTAGAGACTTTGAAGGGAGCACGGCCTTGCTGGCACCTTGACTTCAGACTTCTAGCCTCCAGAACTGTGGGAGAACATGTTTCTTTTTTTTCAGGCATCCAGTTTGTGGTCCTTTGTTAGAGCAGCCATAGCAAACTAATACACTCGATGCAGCTGTTCAGTTACAACAATCAAGCTAATTGTCAGGCATCTCCCACAAATGCTAGGGAAACTTTCTGGATCATTGGATGCTAAACTTTGTAGCAGAATCACAGATGCCTCTGAAGCTGAATCTGCATTTGTAACAGATGCCCTTTCTCTGCAAGGCCAAATTCCTTCAGGAAATCTTTCCCAAACTCTGACAAACAAGAAAGATTGAAGAACAGCACTCTAAGGAGTCACCAAGCTCAGGGAAAGTGGCTAAACAGTGCTCCAGGCTCAGAAGGAGGAATTTGGACATGAAGTTAGGTGGGTCCTCAAGGTCCACCTCTGCCCTTTCAATGTCTTATCAATCTTCCTTCTGTATCTTCTGAGAGACTGAGTGAGAATTGATGGGGTGTTTTGTGTGGTTTGTGTCATTTTTTTTTGTTTGCTTATTTTGTTGCTGTTTGCAGTTCTCTAAATTTTAACACATATAAAGATTCATGGAATCACCACCTCAATCAGGATACAGAACAGCTCCATCAAAAAATTTCCTTATATTATCCCTTTACAGTGACAGCATTTTCCTACCCTGAGCCTCTAGCAATCACTGATTTGTTCTCCATCATGATGGTTTTATCATTTTGAGACTGTAATATGAATAGAAGCAAGCAGTATGTAGCCTTTGAGACCAGCTGCTTTTACTGAGAATAATGCCTTTTAGATTCATCCACATTGATATGTGTATCAGTAGTTCATTTTTTAAAAAATTGCAGAGTAGTATTTCATTGGTGTATCATAGTTGGTTTCTCCATTCACCCGCTGAAGAACAAGTGGTTGTTTCTAGTTTTTGGTAATTATGAAGAGTGCCACTAAAAGCTTTTTCTGGTATGAATTTTTTATTCTTGTTGAGTAACACCCAGGAGTGGGTTTGCTTAGTTGTATGGTAAGTGTGTATTTAACTTTATTAAAACTATCAAACTTTTCCAGAATGACGGTCCATTTTGAGTTAGATTTTGGGAAAGGTGTGAGGCTTAATTTCAGGTTCAATTTTTTTGATATATGGATTTCTAGTTGTTCCTACACTATTTGTTAAGACGCTATCCTTTCTCCATTGAATTGCTTTTGCACTGTTGTTAAAACCAATTGGCTATATTTGTGTGGGTCTATTTTTGGACTTTTTATTCTATTCCACTGATACATTTGTCTATCCCTTCACCAATACCATGCTGTTTTGATTACCATAACTTATGGTGAGTCTGAAAATTGATTAGAGTGATTTCTTCAACTGATTTTTCAACAGTGTTTAGCTGTTCTAATTCCTTTGCCTTTCCATATGTATGTTGGAAATGGCTTGTCCATATTATGAAAAATCCTCTTGGGATTTTGTTACCTATAGACCAATTTGGAGAGGATTGGCATCCTTGCTAAACTGAGTTTTCCAGTCTGTGAACACAATTTGTCTTTCCATTTACTTATGTCTTTGATTTCCTGCATCAGTGTTTTGTACAGATTCTGCATGAGTTGTTAGTTTTATAACTTTTTTTTCCAAGCTATTAGGAATAGTATTGTCTTTAGATTTTGTTTTCCAATTCTACATTGCTAGTATATGGAAACACAACTGAGTTTTGTGTATGATCTTGTATCATGCCACTTTGCTAAATTTCATTTTTGTTTCAAGAAATTGTTTTGTAAGTTAATTGAGGTTTTCTATATAGACATTATTGTTGGTTGTGAATAGGGACAGTTTTACTTCTTTCTTTGCAATCTGTACACGCTTTGATTTCTTCTTCTTGCCTTATGGCACTGGCTAGGGCTCCCAGTAAGATGGGGAATAAGAATGGTGAGTGTGAACATCTTTACCTTTTTTTGTTCTTAGTGGGGGAAAGCTTTAAATCTTTCACTATTAAGTATAATGTTAGACATAGGTTTTAGAAATAGATACCTTTTATCAAGTTGAGGAAGTTCTCTTTTAGTTTTGGTTTGCAAGGAGTTTTTATTGTGAAAGAAAGCTGCATTTTGTCATGTGCTTTTTTTCTGCATCCATTGATGTAATCAAGTTGGTTTTTTTCTTTAGACTATTAATATAGTGTATTATATTGCTTGATTTTTAAATATTGAGTTAGTCATGCATTTCTTAGATAAATCCAACATGGCCATGACATATTAATTTTTCAACATATTGCTAGATTCAATTTGCTAATAGTTAACATTTTCTTAAAATTTTTTGTATCTATGTTCATGAGGGATATTCATCTGCAGTTTTCTGTTTTTGTACTGTCCTTGGTTTTGGTAGCAGGGCAAATCTGGCCTCATAAAATGAGTGGGGAGTGTACCTCTCTCTTCTATTTCTGGAAGAGATTATGCAGAATTGGTGCTGTTACTTTTTTAAACATTTGGTGGAATTTTTCAGTAAAATCATCTAGTACTGAATATTTCTTTTATGGAAAACTTTTAACTGTGTTACATTTATTTAATACTTATAGGAGTACTCAGGTTATTGAGTTAATCTTGGGTAAATTTTGTTGTTTGTGTTTTTCTTTCTTTCTTTCTTTTTTTTTTTTTTTTGAAATAGAGTCTTGCTCTGTTGGCCAGGCTGGAGTGCAGTGGCACAATCTTGGCTCACTGCAACCTCTGCCTCCCAAGTTCAACTGATTCTCGTGCCTCAGCCTCCCAAGTAGCTGGGTTATAGACGTGCACCACCACATCCAGCTAGTTTTTGTATTTTTAGTAGAGACAGGGTTTCGCCATGTTGGCCAGACTGGTCTCGAACTCCCGATCTCAGGTGATCCACCCGCCTTGGCCTCCCAAAGCGCTGGGATTACAGGCGTGAGCCACTGTGCCTGGCCTTATTTGTGTTTTTCAATGAGTTGGTGTTCTATGTCATCTAAGCTGCTAGGTTTAAGTGTACAGAGTTGTTTGTAGTATTCCCTTCTTATCATTTTAATAGCTGTGGAGTCTGTTGTGATGTTTTATCTTACTTTTCTAAAATTGGTTATTTGTGTCTTTTCTTTCTCTTTTCTTTGTTAGGTTTGCTAGAGCTTTATCAAATTTGCTGATGTTTTCAAAGAATCAGTTTTGGTTCTGTTGATTTTATCTGTTGTTTTTAGGTTTTTAATTTCTTTGATTTCTGATCTTTATTATTTTATTCCATCTGCCTGTTATGGAGTTAATAAAATGCTTTTATTTTTATAGTCTCTTAAGATAAAAGCTAAAAGCTTAAGTTAATTTTTTTTAAATCTTTCTTTTTTTTAGTATAAGTATTTTATTGCTATGCATTTCCCTCTAAGCACTGGTTTACCTGTGTCTCACAAATTGTGCAGTGTTGTGTTTTCCATCTTTATGTAATTCAAAATATTTTCTAATTTTTCTTTAGACTTTTTTTCACCCATGGATTATTTATAAGTGTGCTTTCAAGTGTTCGGATATTTTCTTATTATCTTTCAAATACCAAATTCTAATTTAATTCCATTATTGTCAGAAAACTTTTATATGATTCACTTATTTTACATTTGTTAGGATTTGCTTTATGACACAGGATATGGACTTCCTTGGGGAACGTTTCGTGGGCTCTTGATAAAAAAGCATATTCTGCTGTTGTTGTGTGAAGTATTCTATAAATGTCAATAAGATCTAGTAGGTTAATGGATTTGTTTAGTTCATGTTTATCTTTGATAATTTTTTTGTCTATTAAATCTATCTATTGCTGAGAAAGTTGTGTTGGAGTCTATAAAATTATGCATTTATTTGTCATTTTAGTTCCTCCAGTGTTTGCTTCACATAACCTTTATCATTAGATAATATTTCTCTATGCATTATAATCTTCTTTGCTCTGATATTTCATTTGTCTGATGTTAATTTAGCTACTCTGGCTTTTATTTGATTAGTGTTTCCACAATATGTTTTTCCGTTCTTTTATGATTAATCTACCTATATCAGTATATTTGAAGTGAGTTTCTTGTAGGCAACATGTAATTGGTTTGCTTGTTTTTTTCAAAACATATTCCATCAATTTTTGATCGATATGTTTAGACCATTTACATTTAATGCATTTAGTAATTTCTTTAGATTTACGTCTTCCCTTTTCTTGTTTTCTGTTTCCCCTCTGTTTTTGTCTTTTGCTATTTTCTGCCTTCTTTTGGGTTATTAAAACATTTTTTACCATTCCTTTTGGTTTTATGTATTGTGATTTTTACTATGTATCTTTGATTATTTTTATAATATTGCTTTGGAGATTACAATATGCATACTTACGTTTTTATAGTGTACTGAGAATCAATAATTTGCCACTTTAAGTGCAGTGTAGAAATCTTGCCACCATTTAGTTCCCTCTACGTTCATCAAAACCTTATCCAACTATGTTATAATTTTTTTTTTTTTTGAGATGGAGTCTCGCTCTGTTGCCCAGGCTGTAGTACAGTGGCGCGATCTTGGCTCACTGCAACCTCCACCTCCCAGGTTCAAGCAGTTCTCTGCCTCAGCCTCCCGAGTAGTTGGGATTACAGGTGCCCACTACCACACCCAGCTAATTTTTGTATTTTTAGTAGAGATGGGGTTTCACCATCTTGGCCAGGCATCTCTTGAACTCCTGACTTTGTGATCAACCCTCTTCGGCCTCCCAAAGTGCTGAGATTACAGGCGTGAGCCACCATTCCCAGCTTATGTTATGGTTTTTACTTTTAGCTATCACATGTTTTAGAGAACTCAAAAGGAGAAGAATCTATTGTATATAGACTTTATTATTTTCAAGATTTTTTTCTTTGTCTCTAGTTTTTAGCAGTTTAATTGTGATTTGTCTGAACTTGGGTTTCTTTAGTTTTATTCTGTTTGGGTTTGCAGAACTTCTTAAATCTATAGATTTTTGTCTTTCAACAAATTTGATAAGTTTTAAGCCATTATTTCTCAGTTTTTTCCTTTTCTTTTCTTTCTTTCTTTCTTTTTTTTTTTTTTGAGATGGAGTTTCGCTTTTGTCGCCCATGCTGAAGTGCAATAGCATGATCTCAGCTCACTGCAACCTCTACCTCCTGGGTTCAAGCGATTCTCCTGCCTCAGCCTTCTGAGTAGCTGGGATTACATGCACCCACCATCATGCCTGGCTAATTTTTATATTTTTAGTAGAGGCAGGGTTTCACCATGTTGGCAAGACTGGTTGCTCTGATAACACAAATATTAGATCTTTTGTTTTTGTTTCATAGGTCCCTGATGCTCTGTTCATTTTTAAAAATATATTTCTCTTGTTCTGACTGAATCATTACTATTGATGTGTCTTCAAGTTTATTGATTCTTTCCTCTGTCATCATCGTTCTTCATTGAGCCCATCCAGTGAAATTTTTTTTGTTGTTAAATTTTAGTTATTGTATACTTCAGCATAACATTCCTATTTGGTTTTTTAAAAGTTTCTTGTATTTCTTTGCTGGGACTTTTTATTTTTCCATTTCTTTTAGGAGTGTTCACAATTGCTTGTTGGAACATTTTTATAATAGTTACTTTAAAGCCTTTGCCAGAAAATTACATCCACGTCATCTTTGGGTTGATGTTTGCTGATTATCTTTTCCCATGTGAGTTTAGATTTTGCTTGTTCTTATTCTGAGCAATTTTGGATTTTATCTTGGGAATTTTGAATATTATGACTCTTGGTTTCACTTACATTCTGTGAAAGGTGTTGATATTTTTGTTTTAGCAGGTTAAGTTCAGGCCACAAGCTCCAGCATGTTGCCTGTGGGCTGTTACCAATGTCAGCTCAGGTTTGAAAGCATTTGCCGTGCTCTTCTAATCATTCTGGTGTGTGTGCCACCCAGTGGCCAGTCTGGAACCTAATGGTAATCTGTCTTTTATCTTTTATTCACAGCTTTTATATACTGATTAGAATCCTATCCACGTATGAGCAGCTCAGGAGTGAGCCCAGGACTTCATAAACCGCTTGTTAGAGTTGCTTTCCTGAGATTTTCCTTCTCTGTGACATCCTCACTCTTTTCCTATTCTGAGGGACTCTTTGATGGTTCTCCAATCAGCTGTGGCTTTGGAGTTCTTGCTCTGCTGCACACTTTTGTGGCTGCATCTGCCTCTAGGGCAAGGGGTCAAGAGGGTTAGAGGATAAAAGCTTGGTAAACTTACAGCCAGTTTGGTATTCTTTGAATTCTTGTTTTCTTCTCCTATCTGCCTGCTCATGTTTACTCATCAGACTCCTTGAATAGCTGCCACATGCATTCTGTCCAGGTTTTATGACTATGTTCAGGGGAGAATCATGGTGGGTGCTCTTACTCCATTACACCTAGTCAGTGTTCCTTAATCAGACATGCACACCTAGTCAACTGGGGAACATTTTCCCCTTGCATAGTTTTTATGGAGTCATGTGAGTGGGGGTCCGAAACTCTTCCTCACCCCTAAGGCTGGAGACCCTGAAAACTAAGGCAGAGCCAACAGATTGGGAGCAGAGGCATCCGGCTGCCTGCTAGTTGGGAACTTCCTCTCTTTCCAGGATTCTCTTAGGACACTTGCTCTACCCAGAAATAAAATACAGGATTGCTGATAGGTGGCCGTCCCATCAAAGTTCCACGACTAGTGATAGATTATTGGAAACGACTTTGTTCCTGAATAATGCCTTTAAGTTGAATTGTTATAAGAGAAGCTTCTATTTTCTATGGCTGTAGCATTATTTTCTATAGGTGCAGGGTTCCACTTCTGAAAAATAACTTTTAACATAAAAATCCGCAAGTCTAACATGAAAATAAATGGAAAGAACATAAAACTCAACTATGTGCCTTTAAAAACATTTATAGTAAGCATGTGAAGGCAAACAGTGTCTATGAAGGTTAATTTTACATTTGCAGTTGTTTCAGCCAGGTGGAAATGTTTAAAAATATAAGCCAAATGGCATTTTGACTAAAGATTCTGTCTTGCATTCTCAATAAATTTTATATATTAGGTGCTTTTGATTGCTTCAATAACCTTTAAACTGAATTCAAAAGTAGGGAATTCTGGTCCATAGTAGGCTGTCTCTGTAAAAGCATAGGCCATCTTACCTACTCTTTTCTGACAGCTGGAGATGAGTTTACAGCCATGGTTTCTGGACTACCAGGCGACCAGCTGGGGGACCCCAGCATTCTGTCCACTGCCACAACTGCGTAATCACGTGCTGAGTATCTAACAGCTCACCAATAAGTGGCAGCATGTGTGTATCCATATTCCAACCAGAATGGACCTCTATTTCTTCATTTCAGGGCCTCCCAGCATCCCTTGGGTTTGGCCAGTTTTATGGTTATCACTGAAGTGGGCAGCTAGGGTTCTGTGTGGTCCCCAGCATCTAATTCCAGGTGTGTGATTTAAGGGCAGAGATGTCGGGTGCTAGGATTGAGATTATTGGCTGTTAATGGGCTGGATTTTAAACAATTTTAATCTCAAGTTGGCCTGATGCCAGGTGAGCTTTGTCCTCTGGAAAGCACCCTGCCTTACCTCTGTCCACTCACAGATGCTGACACTGTGGGATCCTCACAGCAGACCCGGCAGGTCAGGCTGCCATGCTGTGGGTCACTGCACAGCATCTGTAAACCCAGATGGAGGGTCTGTTTCTTGAGCTGGAAGAGCTGTTTGGAGGCATTGGGTCAAGCCTCTTTCTGGGTCTGGTTTGCTCATTTTTCTTTCCTGTTGTTTGGTGTGTTTGAAAAATCAAAGCCGTTTGCAGCTCCTGGCCCAGGACATGTTTGATTAGCTGGTTCATCAGGGAAGATGGCTCAGCAGGGCAGGAGTCCAACAAGGTTAAAAGTTGCAATGTCCATCTCCGTGGAAGGGGCACCTGCTCCATATTTAAACTGGTTATTTGATGGGACAGCTGCCTGACAGGGCTTGGACATGACTTCTGTGTCAGGCTGCCATGCAAGGAAACATCATCTACTGAACATCATCAGAGACGGAAAGGGGTCCCTGGCTTTGATTTTGGGCGAGTCTCATTACTCTCCTAGGCACAATTCTCCTGTCTATAAGATGGGTATATAATGTAATTTTACTTTACAGTTTTGTCATTAGGATAAAATAGGACAATTCATGTAAAAGCAATTAGCCATAGGCTCACATGAAGTAAAATGCTAAGTAAATTTAAATGGTGCTCTTCATCATTTTCTTCTCCTTCTTCTTCTCTTATTACTAGTCATGGGCCCTGGCTGGGGTACCTAGTTTCTCTAAACCTTTTCCTTGTGTATAGAGTAGGAGCAGTAGTAGCTCCTTTGCAGACTTGTAGGAGGATTAAATGGGACAGTAGGAGGATTAAATGGTCCTAGGACCAGTGGGTTTCCAACACTAATTGCTTCCCTGACCCCATTTGATTGATATAAATGTCCATGCTTTTAAAATATTTGCTAATATTTACACATACAAGTGACCCTTGCACTGTGGCTTGCCTATGTGAGGCAGTGTCCTGGGATGGCCCATACCATTGATCGGAGAATTAGAGGCCTGCTCCCCACTACACATCTGCCAGCTCCCATCCTACTGCCTTGCTTACCTTGGCCAAAGCTGCCCCTGCACCTGCACAGATTCTGCCCACTGTCCTCTCCCACATCCCTCCCCTTGTCCTCTGTACCTGCTGTTCTGAGGCCAGCAAATACCCTGGCCTCCTCCTCTTCTCTTACCTTACTTACCTTAACTCAAACCGGTTGTCCTCTGGGGATAGCCTGTCAAGTTGAAAGTCTTATTCCCTTCACATTCCGTGTCCCTCAGGAGGTGTCCTTTTTATATTATCTTCTTTATCTCCTGCAAACCATTTCTTTCCCTTCCTGCACCACCCTATCTTTTTCTAGCTCTTTTAAAAACTTCTAAAATTGTTATTTTTTAGAGACAGGGTCCCACTTGGTCACCCAGGCTGGAGTGCAGTGGTGCAATCATAGCTTACTGCAGCCTCAAGCTCCTGGGCTCAAGCAGTCCTACTGCATCAGCCTCCCAAGTTGCTGAGACTACAGGTGCACGCCACCATGCCCTGCTCATTATTATTATTATTATTTTTAGAGACAGGGTCTCACTATGTTACCTAGGCTGGTCTTGAACTCCTGGGCTCAAGCACTCTTCCTGCCTCAGCTTCCCAAAGCACCAGAATTACAAACGTGAGCCACTGTGCCTGGCCTCTTTCTAGTTCTTTCTAGCTTATTCTAGCTCTTACCATTTGTTCCCCCCCCACCTCTCCTCATCCTCACTGCCAGCTCTGTCCCCTCTGTTATCATTCCCTGAACACTCTGGCTCACTCTTTCCTCCCACCTCCAATCTGGCTCATGCCCAGTGACCTCCTAGTGAGACCTCCAACCCCACATGTTTTCACAAAACCCTTATCTTCATGTCTTCTTAGTGAGGCTTCAAGATACTGACCCATAATAATCTCTCCCTTGCCTACTCAATTTTCCTGTTCCCTTTTCTTTGTGATATTCACCAGGCAAAACTCCCACATGAGCTAAGCCTGACCATCCTCTTTTGCATACCTGTGCCTGAGTGCTGAGTGTTGCTGTAGAAAATGACAAAGCCAGGGTGCTGGTCTTCCTTGGTATTGCTCCTCACAAATCTCCATGGCTTGCACTGTACTTCCCTAAACCCCTTTTCCATGCTTTGTCTTCTCCTTTCAACCCCTCCTCCTCCTCCCTCCTTATTTAGCCATCAGATGGGAGCCCCCTCATCTCCCATCTCCAAAGTCAAGCCCACCTGCACTTGCACCAGCTGGCTCATTGCCCCATCTTGTCACACCCAGGGAAGTAAGTGTTCTTGCAACAGCCACTTGCCCCCTGCCCTGAATCCATCCCAATTTCCCCTCTAGGATTTTGCCTTTTCTTTTCCACATTTCTCTTCTGCATTACTGATCTCTTCCTATCCACTCCTGCATTGCTGCTCTGCCTAGAAACTTGTTTTAGAACATTTAATCTAAGAAAGCAACCCTCCTCCCACATTTTCCACATCCCCTTTCAGTGATTGCTCTGTTTCTCCTGATTTTGTTTTCTCTCCTTTTGTCTGATTTTCCACCCGCCACAATTTGTCTACTGATTTCACCCTCCTTCTCCTGAAATGACCTTTGTCAGGGCTAACCATCTTCCTATTTTCCAATTTTCTGCTCTTTCCCCTCTTCCTTGCCACCTTGGTGACATTTGACACAGTGAAGCACTGCCTCCTGACACATTTGCTTCTTTGGTCTATGATATCAGCATCAGCCCAGAGCCCTCCTGACTTGGCAGTTTCCTTCGCAGGCTCCTCTTTCTTGCCCAAACTCCCACTGTCCACCTCCCCAGAGGGGCAGTCCCGCACCTCTTCTCTGTCTCTTCCCTCCTTTCTTGGTGGTCTCATCTCCACCAATGGCTTCAAGTACTTGCACATTAATCTACTCCAAATGTTAGCCTCTAGCCCAGGCTTTTCCTGTGAGCCTTCGCATCCACCTGGATGTTTCACAGGCAACTTGGCCTTAGCATATCCCAAAAAGAATTCTCTACTTTGCTCCTCCCCTACTTTGCCCACCTCTCAGAATGACTCTACAGGCAGCTGGTTGCTTGAGTCCAAAATAGAAATCATCCACATCTCCCCCTTTCCCTTGTATTCTACATTCAATCAGTGGATCCACCAGCATCGTAAGGAACTAGACCCAGCCAGAAGGAAGCCAGGGACCTCACCTCATCCACAGACAATCAGGCAACTCTGGGCATCTCTCTACTCTTGCCCCCTTCCCTCATGGGTCAGAGGAGTGGAGGCTCCAAGGAGCAGGGAGGGCGCAAGAGGAATCTTGGTACAAGATCGTGCTTCCTACCCCAGAACAAAGGTTACCCATGCCTTGGGGGACAGTGGAGGTAAGCATTAAATGGGGTAAAATGAACATGAACTTTTTAATGATTAAAAGTGACCTTAAAGTTATGGGTATCATTCTGGGACCAGGGATAATGACTGAAGGAAAAAAAAAGTCTTTATATTTTTATTCTATTGGTTTCCGATTGTCTAACAAACTAATTATAATAAATGTGAGCACATCACTTCCTGTTTCAGACTTCTCAAAGGTGTTCCATTCAACTTAAAATAAAACCCAAGCTCCTTTTAGAGGCCTCCATGCATTCTACTGCCCACCTCTCTCCACTTGCAGGGTGCCCACCTCTCTCCACTTGCAGGGGACCTCTCTTCCTTCCTTCCTCAGCACTCTGAGCTCTTCGAGCCCCATGGCCTTTGCACATGATCTTCTGGTTTCCTGGAAAGGTTTTGGCTGCTTCCTTGTGGTTTTTCTTAAGGGCACCTCGGTTGAAAGGCTGTCGTCTCTCATGATTTGTTTTCTATGTTTCTGTCTTAGCACCTATCACGTATTTGTTGAATTCCTTGTTTCACTGCATATTGTCTCCTTTAAGTGAGTCCTGTGTGAAGGCAGATCATTCCTGCCTTGATCACACTTATTCCCCCTGAGCCTCATACAAGCTCTGCATCTGTTAGGCCACTGATAAATACCTGTTGAGTGTAAGAATAAAATTCATTTACTGGCTTACTGGTGTCACGTGAAGGGCTATTTCTTCTCTGCTGAGCAGAGATGAGTGTATTGTGAAGCTAACGATGCCTAAGTTTCAGGGCCATTTGCTTGCCTGGGTTCCTTCTAAGGCAATGTGATCAACAGGTCATGTTTTTGAATAATTTGCAAAGGTGTCTTGTTTGTTCGAACTGTTATAACAAAAATACCATAGACTTGGTGGCTCATATACTACAGGAATTTAGTTCTCACAGTTTGGAGACTGGTCCTAGATCCAAGTGCAGACAGATTCAGAATCTGGTGAGGGCTTGCTTCCTGGTTCACAGGCGGCTGTCTTTTTGCTGTAATTTCACAGGGCTGAAGGGGCAAGGGAGCAACCTGGGGCTTCTTTTTATAAGGCACTCATTATGAGGGATACACTCTCTTTAACTAATCACCTCCCAAAGGTTCCATGTCCTAATACCATCGTCTTGGGAGTTAGGATTTCAACATGTAAATTTTGCAGAGATATAAACTGTCAGATCCTAGCAGTTAGATGAAAATCATGCTTTCTTTTCCCTTCCTGTAGAACAGCGGTCTCCAGCCTTTTTGGCACCAGGGACAGATTTCGTGGAAGACAATGTTTCCACGGACCAGTGGGGGTTGAAGGCTAGTTTCAGGATGAAACTGTTCCATTTCAGATCACCAGGCACTAGTTAGATTCTCATGAGTGCACAACCTAGATCTGTCGCATGCTTAATTCACAATAGGGTTTGTAGTCCTGTGAGAATCAAATGCCGATGCTGATTGAACAGGGGGCGGAGCTCAGGTGGTCCTGCTCACTGGCCTGATGCTTACCACCTGCTGTGTGGCCCGGCTTCTAACTGGCTATGGACTGGTACCTCTATTGGGTTCAACAGAGGAAAATGCAGGTACCAGTCCGTGGCCAGTGGGTGGACCCCTGCTGTGGACCCCTCTGTATTAATCATGTTTTTGATTCCCCAGATTTTAGGATGCTTTGACATTTTGGAGCTTTACTGACCAGGGAAAGCCTTCCCCTCAGGGCAAGCTAATTCCTACAGACAGCAAATGACCCACCTGTGACACACTTTTTGCATGCCAAACAACCTGTCCAAAGCCAATGACTCCAACAACAGCCTTTGTGGAACTCTCACTGGCCAAGCCACTGTTCCCCTGCCCTGATCACCCCAGTGCCAGGTAGCAGGCAACTCTCGATAGTCCCTAACACCCAGAGCCTGCTAGAATTATTCACACCAGCCAATCCTAAACCTGCGTAATCCGCCTCTCCTGTTTCTTCCCTCACAAACCGCACAAAAAGCTCTTGTCCACATTTTCCTCCTGCTCCCTGTGACCTGACTCACCCTGGGGCTTCCCCATGTGGCCCCAAAAGGTGTGCCCTGCCTCCTCTTTCTAGGGATCTGTGACTCTGTGACCACAACAGACTTCTTCCTTCATGGGAGTCATTTCTGTGTCTGTGTATCTCACCATCCTTGATTAAAAGAAATCCTGGGGATATGTTAAAAATCCTCCCAAGTTGTATAAACAGATAGCATCCCTTGGTCAAAGTGGCTTTGGTTGTGAAGTCCCTACAGATTCCTGCGCCCATACCCACGTGCATCTAGAGGCCACACCACCAACCTGTGGCTCAGCCACCCCGGGGACAGAAACCCACAGCCGAGGCCCGGGAACTTAGTGCTTGAGCTGTTCATCCCCTATGGGCAACGGTGACCTTGAGAGGATCACACTTTCTCTGCTTAAAGTCATTCCCTAGTCCCCCTAGGCCCAGGGGTCTAGGAAGGCCCAGGTTGGGGAGCAGACTTTCAGGCAAGTGTGAAAATGTTACTTCTCTTCTTGTAAATGATTCATTTGATCACAGAGCCTCTGCCAGTAGTTACAGAGCTTCTAGACTGAAGTGACTGAAAAAAGCTTCCCTACATATTTACTTAATTCATCCTTATATTTCATTCATGCAACATTCACTGGACTTTTGCCAGACTCTGTGTGAAGGGTAGGGGACACAAAGTACAATGAAGCCACCTCTGCCCCTGAGGATCAGACAGATTAATCAATGATTGGGTCTCAGGGTGACACCTGCAACAATAGAGGAAAATGCAGGGTATTGGGAGAGTAGTGGGGAGTGGGGTGGGGTCACTTAAATCCAGCAGGAGGTGGAAGTCAGAAGAGGAGGCAACACTTGAGCTGAGTTGTGAGGGATGAGTAGGAATAAGATGAATAATTGGAGATGGAGGGGGCATGCCAGATATTCATTTCTATTCAGCAGGTCTTCTGTTTTTGAGCTGGAATTTAATGCGGGTCTCTGTGTTAGGTACAGGGGATTTGGTGGTGACAAACCTGATGATTACCCACTTTCATGGAGTTTTCAGCTAGAGGTGAGGTAGGCATTACACAAAAAATGGCTCAGTCACACTGAAGAGTCACAAATTATGATGTCTATGAAGAAAAAGGTGAGGATGTGAAGATGTGAAATGGTGTTGCTGGGGGACCCCATTCAGATGCAAGGTATAGGAAGGCCCCTGAGGAAGCACTACTCAAACTTGGGGCAAAAGGTGAGAATGTGGGAAAAGGGCACTGGCATGGGAGGAGCATCCTGGATTCTGGAAAGAAGGAAGTGGAGGTGCCAAGGACCAGAGGGACGAAGGGATATGTTGGAGTAGAGCAGGGTAAGGCTGCAGGGGAAGTAAGGGTAGGAGCAGGTAAGGCAGGTAAGGCTGTAGGGGAGGTGAGGCTGGGGAGAGGTAAGGCTGGCAGGGAAAGGGGTAATTAGGTTGGGGGGAAGGTATAGCTAGGGGGAAGGTAAGGCTGGGGGCGTGATTAGGTTAGGGGGAAGGTAAGGCTTGGGGAGAGATAAGGCTGGGGGGCAGGTAAAGCTGGGGGGTAATTAGGTTGGGGGGAAGATATAGCTAGGGGGAAGGTAAGGCTTGGAGGAGGTAAGGCTGGGAGGGTGATTAGGTTGGCTATGGGAAGAAGTGAGAGTGGGAGGTGGGAGGTGAGACTGGGGGAGGGGAGGTAAGGCCTCTTGTGAGGGAGGCATCTCAGCCAAGGTGAGGACCAGCCGGTCGATCCTGGCAGTCCAGGCTGTTCAAGGTGGGGACCGTGACTCAATCCAGGGTAGGCTTTGAAGATACCCCTGAGGCTACTGGGCTGGGTGGCTGGCAAGCTGGGGCAACTCTGAGCCCTGGGCATGGAGAGGCTGCCCTGGGGTCTGCTAGGTGCCCGTGGTGTCCCCTTCAGCCTTCAGTCTGGTCCTAGATGGGGAGGAGCTGGTTAGGGTGGGGCAGGAAAGTCCTGACTCATCTGCAGCTTAGACTGGGATCCTCACTTAGGAGTCAGTGCCTGAGGCTGGGAGCTGTAGTGGTTGTGATGGAGCTGCTGCTTCTGAGAGTGCTGAATGGGGCCATCTGTGGAATGAACAGAGCAGAACAGACTCTGGTTCTTTATAACACTCCACTTGGGTTTCATAAGAGAAGGAAGCTCTATCTGTGCTGTCCTTTGCAGTATCTTCAGTATCTAGAACCATTCTTTGGAACTAGAGCTCTGCAAACACTTGGTGAGTAAATGAATGTTGCACCTCTCTTAGACATAGGAGCAGATGCAGGCTGAGCTGACCAGGCAGCCAGGGCACATTTTGGAAGCCTGGCATCTCAGTCTCTTTCCTCACCTCTGTGGGCCTGGCACAGACTTGCTCTTGCCTGCTCAGACCACTCCCTTCTCCAATGTGGCTGGCGGGAGAGGCAGGTTGCAGTTGGGGTCTGGCGATGATGCAGGCTCCTTCCTGCTGCTGTATTTACCTGATTGTTACGTGATGCTCTTCCCAGCTGGCCTCCTATCAGGCCTGTCTCTGCAACTAACACAATTTCCCCAGCAGAATGCACAGACAAATGTCTCAGACAACAAACTGGATTATTATTATTTTCTTCCTCTTGGACTGACTGCTCCAGTGCCCATCAAGGGCTCTCCCAGGGCATCTCATTTGGAAACATTCTGGGCTTGCTATTTGCAGGTAGTTGCCTTTAAGACAAAAGCGGTCTGAGACAACTTCATTACCTTTCAGGTTTTTCTTGGTTAAATTTGGGCTGCTTCAAATATGGGAGACTGACTTACCGTGGAATTCTTAGCGTACATTTATGCATCCACCCAATCCATCCGTAAGTTACGAACACCTGGGAGGCATGCAGAACTTCCCTCCTCGTTGTGCTTAGTGCTACAGAATTTTATTAAACAGGATTTATTGAGCACCTTGAATGCAGTAGACATTGTGCCAGGCATTTAGCCTCCAACTTCTTGCTTTGTCTCCACCACATCCCTGTGGGGTGGGTATTAATATTTTTCTTCTTTGGAGGAGTGAATTCATGTTCTGAGAGATGAAACCACATATTCCAAATTTGTCAGGATTTGTACCAAGAGACCAGGCCTTGCATCTCTAACTTGACTTTGGGGAAACAACACAGCCAACAGCTGAGTTGTTCTTTTGCCTCTCCCTGTGGGCCAGGCAGCCAGATCCGGGAGATCCAATGGGGCCATGGTCTAGACATGGGACCCCCACCACCCCCAGGTGTTGGTTGAGGTCCAGTAGAAAGATGGCCTGACCAGAGGGGATCTCAGTGGGGACATACAGGGGAGACAGCTGCCCAACCAGGAGGTGACTGTGAGTGCAGGTAGCATTTCAGATGCTCCTTAGGCACTGAGAGGCCATCCTGGGAACCCAGATGTAGGTTCTTGCTGCATCTGGGGTTCCAGGATGGCTAGTGGCTCCTACAAGGAGAGCCTGCCCCATGAGCTTCATGTACCATGCGGTAAACCCTGCTTCTGGCCTCTGAAGGTGACCGTCTAGTTAGATTCACAGGGGCTGCTCCTAATTTATCGATCAAATTCAGGTGTCACCTGCTAGCTTACAGTTGGGGGAGACCGAGGTGGGCAGCCACTTAGTGTTGATCTTTGCATCAGGAAATAGAGTTTTATGGCAGAAAATGCCCTGGACTTTCAATCAGAGTGGCCTGGGCTCAAACATGAATATGGCTACTTGCTTAGTGACGTTGGGCAAGTCAATGAACCCTCTCCGAGTCTCAGTTTCCTCACTTGGCAACTTGAGATAGAAACATCTATTACTATTGTGAAGATTAAATGGTGTATGCCAGTGGTTCTAATTTGGGTGCAATTTTGTTCCCCAGACAACATTTGGCAATGTCTGGAGACATTTTTGGTTGTTACAGCTGGGGGGTTGGGATGCTACTGGCATCTAGTGGGTAGAGCCCAGAGATGCTGCTAAAAATCCTACAATGCAGAGGTCAACCCTCCACAACAAGGTATTATTCAGCCCAAAATGTAGTGCTAGGTTGAGAAACCCTGGTGTAAATGAGTAAGCATCACCTAGCGCTTGGCACCCAAGAGAGTGTTAATCAGGGCTAATTGAATTAAGAGTCAGAGTGTTAAGAGCCAGAGGACTCTCAACACTGGGGCTCCTACCAGGTGCTCCAGTGCCCCATGGTTTGCTCCTGGGACTCAAGGTGGGGGCTGTGAATGTACCTATGTGCTTTTGTCAGGGGACTAGGAGTCTTGATCAGTTGCTTGTGAAGGACACTCCCTTCCCCTTCCTGAGCCTCTCTGCCTGCATCCTTCTGGTGTCTGAAAGAGCTTCTGAGGGCCGTTTTGCTCTGATGTTTCTTTCCAGGTGCTGGGATATGCTGGGATTTGGCCAGGACCAAGGCTCCTTGCACTTCTATTCACTAGCGTGAGTTTCCTGCCCACCTCTCCCAGCTCCAGGTCCTGGACACAGGCCCATTCCACCTGCCTGCAGGTGCTGGGGAGCAGCACAGCCGTGGGAGAAGGCTCTCCCGCCCAGACCTCTCAGCACCCAGGGTGCTTTCTTGACATAAGCAGCTCATGCCTTGGCCCCAGGTGGCCAGGTGGTAGATGGAGACTAGAATCTCCCACCCTGCCTGCTGGCTTGGCCTTGAAGGAGACCCTTGGGCTTAATCTGGAGAGAGTCTAGAGGAAGGAGAACTGTTATGTCTCTTTCTCGTTCCATGTTGAGTGGTTCCAGGTCTTTACTGAGGCCCCCAGATTGGGGGCTCAGGGGCACAGGACACCTATTAGGAGCCTTGTGAGAAAGTAAGGGAGATGAGCAGGCAGGGATGAAGCCAGGGAGATGGGTTGGAGCCTCTCTCTGTGGTGCAGGGAGAGGTGAGGAGGCTGCTGGGAGGTCATGGAGGAGAGATGGAGAGGAGGGCTGGATTCAGATTACATTCCTGAAGTCCAGTCGCCAGGGTGGGGAGGAGACAGGCTGACACTCACGTGTCCAGAGGAGATGGAGGAGCAGGGAAGGAGCAGGTATGAGGAGGACTTCAGCTGGCCATGATGAGGGTGAGCGTCCTGTGGGCATGGGAGAGAATGATATTGTGAGGTGAAGCCTGAAAAGAAAGGGCCTTTTCTTTAGCAACCCCCAAGCTCATGACCCCATGGTGAGTCTTGGTCCTCCCTCCCTTGACCAGGGCTTGGGGAGGGAGAGCCCCTGAGCAATGGAGTGCAGCCTTGAGGAGCATCTGGGGCCTGCCTTGGAGACTCTATGGGAGCTTTCTTGGCCTGGCCAGTTCCTACTCACCATCCACAGGGCCTGAGGCTCATTCAGCTCTGATAACCCTGGATGTGACACCCTGGCCCAGGAGAGGATGGGCAACTGGGACTTGTGGGTGGTCTCAGAAGGAAGTCCCTTCTGTTCAAGTCTCCAGGCCACATCCCCTGCCTGAACTTCAGTTCTCTCATCTTTAAGATGTGATAATCATTTCCACCCTGTTCATCTTAAAGGGAAGTTGCAAAAATTAACTAGGCTAATTTCCGGGATTGTGCAGCACTGTGAACTGGGGAGTTACCACAGGGCCGGGTGGAGCCTGCTCAAGGCTGGGGTCCCGTGCAGTGGGCAGTGGACACGTAGCATAATCTCACCAGATAAATCTGCACATGTGCCTCACTCCTTTCTTCCCCTCTGGGCCTTCTGTGAGTGGCTCCCCCAGCTTTTCTGGTTGGACTACATCTTATACCAGGTCCAGGGCCAACCAGCACGTGTGACAGAGACTCCATTTCCTTACTCATGAACTCAACAGAGGCTGTCCGGTCATCCTCACTTCAGACAAGGTGGTGGGTGGGCTCAGGAGCAGGCTGCCCACCTGCTTCCCCGGCAGAGACCTGTGTCCAGGCCATGGCTGGCTCTCCACTCAGGCAGCTTTCCACACTCCAGTTTCCAGAAATTTGTGTGTTTCTGGGCCCCAAATTGGCTAATTGGATCAACAATAGAGGGTCTTGAGAGGAAATGCCATGTAGGTTTCTAAAGTGTTTTTAGGGAGCCATAAAAGTGCCAGGTTGTCTTTTTTATGCAGGTTTTTACAGTCTTGATTTAAGAGGTTCTTGAGTTTTCCTGTTTTTGCCTGTGGGTTGCCCTTGCTGAGAAACTTGGGCTGAGGGAGTTTCTTTTTCAGTGACAATAGCCACTTAGGGAAAAAGTTCTTCCCAAAACATAGAGATGATAGCGGATGGGGAAAGAAAGTCACTTTTGCTGAGGTCCTGATATGAGTCAGGTGCTGTGCACAGCTTTTTGCATACATTATCTGTTATGCTCCTACTGGATACCCATGTGATACTGGGATTGCTCTCACTGTATAGAGGAAGACACTGAGGCTCAGAGATGTCCCAACTTATCCCACATCACAGAGCTGCCACGGGCTGGGCTCACCATGGGTCCCCTCCCCACCTCCTCCCCTGCAATACTCCCGCAATACTCCCCATTCACCCTTGGTTCTCACCTGATGGACAATGGCCACAGGCGTCCTCGGGATGGTTGCACTTCACCCTTGACCCCTTGAGTCAATTTTCCATATAGCACCTGGTCTAATCCTCTTAAGTATAAGTCAGATCACTGTTGCTTAAAATGCTTCCAGTGGCCTTTGTTTCATAAAATAAAATCCAAAGTTTTTTTTTAATATAAAAGTATATATTTAAGGTGTACAACATGATGTTTTGCTATACATACAAATAGTGAAATGGCTACTGTATAGCCAAGTAAATTAACACATTCATCATCTCACATAGTTTACCCAATTTTTTTTTTTTTTTTGTGGCAAGAGCCCTTTTCATCACTTTCAAGGCCCTCACTAAATGGCCATTTTTCCATCTGTCCTGGTCTCCAACTTCATTCCCCAGACTCACCTGGAGCCTTATTTTTGGTTATCAAACATGCCAAACAAGCGCTCACCTCAGGGCCTTTGCACTGGCTGTTCCCTGTCATTGGATCACTCTCACTCTTTGCCCAGATTCCCACATGGCTGGTTTCCTTGCCTTCTTGGTGCTGCTGCACAATGCTGCCTCATCACAGAGGCCTTTCCTGACCACCCTGCCTGAAGTAGCACACTCCTCCTTCTCCCTGGTCCCTCTCCCGCCTGACTTCATCGTATTTGTCATGACTTGACATTGTTTCATATGTTAAGTGGGTGGTTGGCATTTGTAACAAAAGAGGCTATGTGTGTTTTGCTGCAGCTCTATTCTCCATGCCTGCAACAGCATCCGACACATAGTAGGTGCCTGGAGCATCTAGTGAATGAACGACCCACTGAACTAACACAGGAATCAAAGGGGCAGTGGGAGTGGGGAAAGACGGAGAGCAATGGTGAAGGAAAGGGAAGCTTTAGACAAAGTTTTCAGATGTGTGCATCTGAGGGTAAGGACATCAGCCTGCCAGAGAGCCCGGGGCAAGAAGGCAGAGCTTGGATGAACATTGATGTACATTTGAAGGAGGCCGACATTAAGTCCTTTGCCAAGGTTCCTAGTGGCTGCTGGGCTCCCATCAAAAGCCAAGTAGGCATTGTAGCCCTTGTGAAGTTAGCATCCCTGGCAGCCAGCTGCTTCCAGATTCCCTTCTACAAAGGCTGATGATCTGCGAAGGCTTTTCCCTGGAGTGACTGCAGTTCGTGTCCTTTGCCTGCATATTTCAAGGCATAAAATAGAGCAAAACCAAACAGGTCTTGTCCTGGCAGCTTGTGTGTCAGACTGAAAGCTTGTGCCTGAAGAGGTGTGGGTTAGACCTGCTATGGCAGGAGGGGCATATTCATTGCTGTTGGCTGCTGGTGGTGCATTTCTTCCAGGGCCTGGGTCAGAGCCTGGAGCCTGTTGGTCAGTTCCCAACTCTCTGTGCTCATGGGCCTCTGTCGGGCTGTGAGCTACCAAGGTGAATCCCCACATGCAACCTTGTCCTATGGCTTCATTGGGAGCTAGTGGCCCCTCCACGCTGAGGCTGTCCAAGCTACGGCTCACCTGGGAGGAAGGCAAGAGATAGCTGTCACTTCCTGGGTGCCCACAGTGACCAGCATCAATCTAGACATTTATGTATTCATAATTTCCCAAATCCTCACTGTGAAATGGGCTTCATTGTTCTCATGTATTACAGAGGAGGAAAGCAGGGCACAGAGAAGCCATGTGACTCTCATAAGTTCCTGTTTCTATTAAGAAGCAGATGCAGGGTCTGAGGAGTTATCTTGAGGCTCCAAGTTTGGGCCTCAATTCATTACAATGCATGTAGGAGACACATCCCTGTTTCTGACCCCACTTGGGGACAGCCAGCACTCTTTGCTGTTTTCTTTATTACTCTCTTACCAACCCTTCACCCCAGGGCCTCATATGGGAACACGAGTGTGTTTTCCATAGGGAAGAAGGAGCAGGGAGGTTTGTCTGCTGGCCAGGAAACATCCGGAGATGCTGCAGAAGGAGGACTTGGATCTGTCCCAGCCCCAGCTTGGGGAACCAGAAATTTGCGGTTGAGAGCTCAGCATCAGGAATCAAATGGCATTAGCTGTGCAACCTTGGACAAGTCATTTCTGTAGACAGACAGTTTCTCATCTATTATATGGAAACATAAGTTTCCTTGTATCTAAAACTCCTACTGCAGGATAAGGCATCACAGTCCCACTGTTTCTTCACTTAACAAACACTGAGCACTGGCCGTATGCCAGGCACTGTCCTAGGAGTAGGGGCCCAGAGGTGAGCAAAACAGCCCTGACACTATCCAACAGGGGCTGTGGGTGGCACAGGAGATGGGCATGGGGGAATCCCACCCTGGGGAGAAGCCCATCCAGCTGGGGTCTGACGGGTAAGAGAAATTCATTGTTATCAGGTCTAGGTAAGTCCCAGGTGGGGAAGGAGGAAGGGGAGAGCGTTCCAGGAACCAATCCAATATTTGGAAGGTAATGAGGATGGAATGGCTTTGCTCTCTCCCCTGAGACTAATGAACCGTCATTGAAGGCTTCTAAGCAGTGACTGCTTTTATCAAATTTGTGTTTTGGTTGAAAAGTTCATTCTGGCTGCTGTGTGGAGCCTGGATAGAAGGTAACCATTGTGCATGAGTGAAGATCAGCTAGGAGGCTACTGAAATTGTTTTGGCAACAGATGAAGGTAACTTGGAGTAGGCCACTGGATAGACCCATTCTTTGCCTGTCCTCCTGGCCTCTTCCTGAGCCCTGTGGACCAGTGTCTGCCTCCACCAAGGACAGCAGTGCTGCAGCCTTCTGTTATGGACTGAGTTATGTCCCATCCCAAAAAGATAAGCTGGAATCCTAACCCCAGTACCACAGCATGTGATCTTATTTGGAGACAGGGTCTTTGCAGATGATCAAATTAAAATGATGTTATAAGGGTGGACCCTAATCCAATATGACTATTTCCTTATGAAAAGGAGACATTTGTATTCAGGACATACACAGAGGGAAGATGATGTGAAGATACAGAGAGAAATGGCTATCTACAAGCCAGGAAGGGGGGCTTGGAAGCGATCCCTCCTTCCTGGTCCTCAGGGGAACCAGCCCTGCTGACACCTTAATCTCAGATTTCCATCCTCCAGAACTGGGAGATAATACATTTGTGTTGTTTGATCTAGCTACCTGGTCTGTGATATTTTATTATGGCAGCCCTAGCAAATGAACACACCCTCATCTCTTTATATAGAAAACTTGGGGACCTCCAAGACCTCACCACTCTTGGGTCCCACTGGTGGAGATGCACAGATACAGGGTAGGTGGTGGTCAGACCTCTCCAGATGATGCTGATGGGCACTGGAGGCCATGGGAGGGGGGCTGGAGGACACAGGTTTCACGCAGGGCTTTCCTCTGTGCACTCACAACCTTGGTCCTCAGCTGTGTGCAGCCAGACCTCCAGAAAGCTATGTCCTTGGCCTTTATTATGCTCACAGGCCCCTTTTAGAGCCCCCCACCCCACCACATACACACAAAGTTCAGCTCTTGTCAAGGGTCCTACAAGAAGAAACAAGTCATGCAGAGTCAGAGAATGGGGCTGTCACTTACTGGTTTTGTGAACTGGGCAAGACACTTATGCTTTCTGAGCCCCAATTTCTCTGTATATAAAATGGAACCATTGTCTCTGGAGGGTTACTGTAAGCGTTCCAGGAGGATGTGAGTAAACAGGGTTGCCACATGCAGCTGAGCAGGTTGCATCCTGCACCTGGATGGCTGGGAGGTGAGTCTGGACTTCATCAGCACACTGCTTGCTGCTCAGCAGGCCTTCCTCACTGGGGCATTTTCTTCTAATTTGAATAAGAGCTCATGCAGGCAGGGAGGACCCTGTATGGCAAATGTCTCACAGTGTTTCTAGCATGTAGTAGACATTCAAGAAGTGTTAGCTTTTTTTTTTTCTGTTAAAGTAATTGTCCATTACACAATTTGGAGGAACCTCTTTCAGAATTTAGGGAATGTCTGCTTCCTCCTTCCTGGTAATGTGATCAGTGTAACAATGTGTTTCCCTTTTTGCTCTTACTGCTGGGAAGGTCAAGTCCATTAATGCTTAGGTTTGTACAAATGTATTCACTTTTCCCTGGCTCTAATTTATTATGCCTTATTTATGTTGTACCAGTTGATTAAATATGTTCTTTGTGGTAAGCTACCCAGTCCCTTTGGAGAAAATGCTTCTAAGTAAATGCAATATGTTTTTCGGCTTGGGCAACATATCATCTGGCTGCTTTAGGTCCTTTGGCCTGGTAGATAGTCAGAGGTGAATGGAATAGCCTTGGCATCTGCATGGTGTTGACCCTGAACCCCAAGGATGTGGCTTTGGGGGATTTAAAAAAATCACAGGTTAGGTAGGGAAGACGCTGCATGGACTGGAAAAATGTCCACTGCGGGACCACTTGTTGATGGCTTTGCATGAACTTAAGCAAGAACTATAAGGATAACCCAGGTATGTGAGGATCCCTGGAAAGTTAGTAGTATGTTTTCAGAGAGCTGGATACATTCTCAGGCTCTTTTGGCCCTCTGGCCCAATTGACCTCGGCACTCTCATGTGGGCCCTGGAGTGGCGTCTGTGATCACAGCTGCCATCATGTCCATCATTCAGGGCACTAGATAGACCAGACCTCTGCCAGGCTCCTAAGCATGTTCCATCAGGGCATGATTAGTGTTGGGCTTGGCATTGTGCTTAAACAGCAGCTTAGGATTTCATTTTCACTGGGTCGGCGGGGAGGTCTTCAACTGGCTAGTGACTGCCACGTAAGGACTGGCTGGGTATTTCTGGATGTGAAATAGGGACTTGTGATCTAATCCAGGGCAGTAAGGAAGACCAGCCCACTGCGTTGTGTCTGGAGAGGGACAGCCTTGAGTGTGAGTGCAAGGGAGCACTCCCAGGCTCTGCAGGTGTGCATGGAGCCTTGCTCTAATCTAAGCCTAGGGGGTTGATTGCTCACTTTATGTTGCTAGAAATGTTTCATAGCTATGAATATGCCCTTGTTTTTCATATTTTTTTCTTCTCCAGAGTTCAAGCTCACTGCCCATGGGCTGAATTCAGATCAGAGGTGTATTTGTGTGGCTGGCATGGTATTTTCTACAACATCAGAGTCCCTTTAGGTGGGGTCTGCACCCTTGAGTCAGGCAAGTCTCATCTCTCCTCATGGGCTCATTCCTACCTGTTCCCCTCACTTCTCACCACTGTATTACCTGCCTGGGACAGATTCTGTGCTACCTCCAGCATTTACACTTTGGCCACAATAGGCTTTAGGATGGAAGGAAAGCTTTATTGAGCATCTACTACATGCCAGCCACTTTTCTAAGCGTTTTTGGAACTCTAGTCTTCTTCAGACTTTGCATCAACCCTATAAGGTAGACACTAATCACATTTATAGCAGAGGGGGCTGAACTCCAAATCAAATGCATCAGGAGAGTATGTCCCAGGATTTAAGCAGCCCTGGCTCCTACACAGGTTTCATGGGCTTCACCTCTCCCGTGAAGCTGGGCCTTGTCAGAGGTAGAAGACTGTGCTGGAACCCACAGGCCAGTGCTTAGTCCTTCCTAACTGCCTTCCATTTGGAGCAGGAGAAGAAAAACCATCTCTGGTAGTTGCAGACAAGTTCCCATTATGGTTGGAGTAAACCTGCACCCATGTGATATATTTTCCTGAGGCCTTAGAAACACAGCACTCCTGTCTTAGCCTGTCCTGTGGGGCCTTTGAAGACTGTCAGTCCTGAAGGCAGAATTTTGCAAAGAGCATACACAGAGGGAAACAGGTAAGCCTGTTCAGGTCTGCAGCCAAGAGCAGCAGCTGCTTCTCCTCAGGTTGCTGCAGGGACACTGGGGAACTGGACGAGGGCTACGTCTCCTGCATATCATCCTGGAATGTGAGGGACCCTCCTGGAGGTGCACGCACAGGTGGATGCCACGGGGGCAAGGGGCCGGGGAGCTAGATGGGTAGGTCAGGTTTTCTAAGACAAGGAAGCAGTGGCTTGCCCCATAGGTGAGTTCTTGCAGAAGCTAGAATCTGTAGCCTTCCTTCTACTCACCTGAAGGAGGTGCCATCCTCTGGAGAGAGCCAGACATGGGTCTGGTGAGCAGGAGCTCAGCCTGCCTTCACTCAGTCTGGAGGCATCCCCACTCCCTGGGGGCAGTGCCTTAAAATCACTTGACTTGAGGTCATGCTAGTAATTGGGATGTATTGATGGAGCACCATCCAGAGTTGTGATTAACTCGGATCAAAGTGCTCAGCAGAACACAGCCTTGCAGATAGATTAATTGCTACAGGAAATGATCACAGTTTGATCTCTGGTCATTTTGTTGTTATTTGAAAACAGAACAAAAAAAACAATAATCAAATTAGAGAAAATAAATGCTTCTTATTAATTAAGGGGAAAAAAGAGAAGAGAATAGTACAAAGATGTTCAGATCGTAAGAAAGACAAGGCACACATCACGGAAGTGTTGGCATCTATTAGACAACACTTGCCCACCCCGTGATGAGCTGGTAAGGTGAACAGAGGCAGAGGGTGCCTGAGCCATAGGTGAGCTCTCCTGGGGCTTCCTGGTGTTCTCACAGATGGCACGCTAGTTCTAAATGACAGATTTTGGAAGAATAATAAGGAAAAACCACATAAATATGTTAATATTTTTCATGTAGATGAAATATATTTTATAGGAAAGAAACCACTATTGTCCTTTTTGGGTGCATGAATTAAGTTTTTGGGAAAGGTGGCCTCTGAGAGAGAGAGCTTGACCTTGAGGGTCGATTTTCTTGATCATCTGCTGGGCAGTCCTTGCCTCCTGGAGCTGAGTTGAAAGAGGGCAACTTGGAGACCCCTTGACCATAGGCCTGGACCAAAAAGAGTCAGTCTCCAAAAGTTTGGGTTCTGGGGTAGCTTACTATAGACTGGACACTGCTCATTTTCCGCAGGGAGGCCATTCAGCTTTTCTTGTTTGCAAACTCCAGTTGATCCCAACCACAGATGAGCCATCCACTAGATCTCATCAAGCATCTTATAGCTTTTTTATTTTATTTTGTTTCCCGTATGGTAGAGGATCCAATTAGGACAATCGCCCTCTTGGCCCTAAATGTGGATGGCCTGGAGGAGCCACTTGGTGAAGTGGAAGTAAGAGTAGCCTCGTGACAGGCTGGCCCGACTGATGGCCCTTCAGTTCCCCACAGTCAGCCAGGAAAGGCTGCGCAAGCCCTGTCCACCCTGCACCTCAGCAAGGAGGATTTCAAAAAGTCCCGAGAAATCTCAGTGTTTTTGTCAAAATAAGGGAAGATGGCTTTTCGGGTTGTGCAGATTAGAAACTGAATGTGGGGAAGTAATTATGAATGTCCCTAATGGAGACAGAGAACGTTTGGATAGACTAACAGAGCCACATGTAGAGATTTTGGACAAATTCATTTGGGCAAATGATGAGAATGGGAATGTCTAAGGTGGCATATTTAGATTTGCATGAGGCTCTGGATGAAACCCTTGTAGAGAACATGGAGAAACACAGAATTTTAAGCAGGGCAATTAGGTTGATGTGTAACTTTAAACACATGTACCTAGAAGTTATTGATTCACTGATCAAAGTCAATCAAAGGAAGGCTTTAGGCCATGCTCATGGCCCACACCTATAATCCCAACACTTTGGGAGTCCAAGGTGGGAGGATGGCTTGGGGCCAGGAGTTTGAGAACAGCCTGGGCAACATAGTGAGACCCTGTCACTGCAAAAATAAAAAATTAGCCAGGCATAGTGGTGCGTGCCTGTGGTCCCAGCTACTTGGGAAGCATTAGGTAGCGTTCAACATGTCCATCATCCATGAAAAGTGGTGGAGCACTGACTGGTTGCAGAAAGTCAAGAGGGTCACTATTTCATTAGTGCTGCACAACCTGCCAGGTAATATAGGGGAGCATATTTAGCATAGTGCTCTCATATTTATTTGCTTGACAGATGAGGATCCCAAATATCTCCAATGACTGGTGCAGTGTGTCAGAGATAACAAGATAAAATCTGATGTGGAAAAATTGAAAGTCTTCCACTTAGATTCAAAAGGTCAATGGCAGCATTTGGTCTATAATTAAAAACAATAATAGTACCTGACATTTCTTGTGTTCTTGCTACTTATCAGGCATAATGCCAAGTGGTTTTCAGACATTATCCCATTTAGTCCTCACACAGCCCCCTGAGAGAGGCAGGTGATAATCTCTGTTTTACAAAAAACAAAACAAAACAAAACAAAACAAAACAAACAAAAAACTTGAGGCTTGGGCTTTGTGTGACTTTCCCTCGGTATTTCTTTCCTAAATATTGACTGATGAATTTATTTATGTGCACAATTGATACTGGATCTGGTCATGAGCTTGCTTTGGCCAATGGCATGCTGGCAAAAGTGAGCATGCAAGTTCTGAGCATAGACTTTCCGTAGAAAGCAGGCGTCCACCTACCCATCTACTCTGATAAAGAGAATATGCCCCAGGTATACACTGCCCTCACACTGAGCCCAAGAATGGGACGTGTGGAGCTGGGCCATCCAGGTGACTCCCCAGTCTGCGAATATGAGACATACACTCTTATATTGGGTGATAATGAGATTTTGTGGTTGTTTGCCACTTAGCAGCATGACTAATATATGTTGCCAGTTTGTAGCTGGGCTGGGATTCAAATCCACATAATCTGACTTCAGAACCCATGCTCTTTGGCTCTTTACCATATTTCATTGAAAGAAATAAGAGATGAATAATCAAGGAGACTTAATATATTCCCTGCTGTAGTCTTTTGGTTAAATACTTAAAAAGTCTATTCTCAATTTATAATTGTAGCCTAATCCTCATCAAAATTTCCATTCAGTGTCTTATTAGATTTTTACAAAATGATTAGAAAATAAAACTGGAAAGGAAAAGCTACTTTATATAGAAATAGTTAGAAAATAGCAAATAATGAAGGGGGCCAGTATTAACAGATTTTAGAACATAGAAGCCCATGTTAATTAAATCTGAGAAACACTGGTACAAACAGAGACTTCCAGCAACGAAAGACAAATCTGAAAGAGTTCCTTATACATAAAATAAGAGAAGATAAAGGAGGAATCAAATACCATGGAGAAAAGAAGGATTTGTAATGAAGGATGTTGGAAGAATGTATTAGTTATTTGGAAAAAAATAACTACAAATAGCAAAAAGTAGGCTACATGATTTTTCAGGTAACACTCTAAATTTTAAAGTGGTAAAAATATTTAAAAAGTAAATAGATCCAATGTACAAAAAGTAAAAACTTCTTTATAAAGACAAAAAATAAAGAAAAAAAAGTGAAGGGAAAATTATTTGTTACAAATATACAAAATGGGAATATTTACCTTGCCTCATTCAAATTAATAGGCAAATTCAAACCTGGTTAACACTGGACAAAAGGTATGAATGAACAAGTGACATCGGAATGAATAAGGTTCAGTTCACCTGAAAAGTCACGTGGTGCCACCTTGCTCTGTGCCTGGCCCTATGTTAAATACCAAGACTTCAAAACAAACATAGCAAAATGAACATCTTCAGGAATAACCAGTGAATTTCAAAATAAAATGAAATCCATGCAATCATCTTATATCTATTATATCTATTATAGATGATTAAAAGTAGTAATGCTATCAAGGTTGTGATAAAACTGGTGACTTTATACATTGCTGGTTGCTGTGTCAATGGGAAAAACCATTTGTAAAACATACCTAGAATCATCAATGTGTTCATTTGTTTGACCCAATAATCTCACTTGTTAAAATTTATCCTAACCTTGTAATTTAAGTGAGAAATACATAAATATATAAGGATTGTATTGTAGTGCTATCTTCCATACTGAACAATTGGAAACAACCTAAATGTTCAGTGTAGGGAATAGCTAAGTACATTATGGAATAGCCACGCAATAGACTATTGTGTAGCCAATAAACATGATGATTGCAAAGGCACTGAGAAAGTATTTCTGATATGATCATGAGTATTGAAATAGCAGAATTATACCTATGTAGTGATTAAAAGTACATAAAAATTAAATATATAAATATATTTAATATATTTATATAAATATATACATATATTTAATATAGTTATATAAATATATACATGACTAAGGCCCTGGAATCTGACGATTCATGGGATGGCTGGCCTGTGGGAAATTACGCTCTTCCCAATTGCCTTTGATTTCCATTAGGGTTGTTTCATTTTTCAGTAAACAAGTAAAAATAACATTAGATTAAAAAATGTGCCAAAGGATGGAATGAGAACAATGAGTCCTAGCTGTACCGGGGGAAAAAGAGACTTAGGAATGTGAGTTGTATTCAAGCTCACTATGAGCCATCAAAATTATGGGTCAGTTAAAAAAAAAAAAGAAAAATGGTCAGGAAAACCTTGAACGCTTTTTCTGAGACACAACATGAGATCCACAGGAGATGTCTGGCTTCTGTCATGCAACATAATGTCTTTGACATTTTCCCATGTTGTTGTGTCTGTTAGGGGTTGATTCTCATTTGTTACCACGTAGACATGTAGAATTCCTTTGTAAGAATATACGGTCATTTATTTATTCTTTTGTTAATGGAAATTTGGGTTATTTCTAATTTTTGGCTATGATGAATAAAGCTCTTATTGTTTTATTCTTGTTCTTGTCTTTTGGTGGGCATATGCACCCACTTATCTAGGGTATATACCTAGAAATGGGATTGCAGGATTATAAAGTAGATGTATGTTTAGTCTTAGAAGATGCTGGCAAACATTATCCCAAAATGATTGCAGGAATTTTTTCCCACCTGAACTGTATGAAAGTTTCAGATACTCTACATTCTCAACAACACTTAGTGTTGGTAGTCTTTTTAATTTCAGCTATTCCAAAGGCAGGAGTGAGTCTCACTGTGGTTTTAATTTCCATTTCCCTGATGACTGAAGATGTTGAGCATTTTTCACATTCTTACCAGCCATTTGGATATCCTGTTTTGTAAAAGGCTTGTTCAGAACTTTCTCCCACTTTACTTTTTCAATTGGGTTGTTGGACTTTTTCTTTTTGATTTACAGGATAATTTTTAAAACTAAAAATGCTGAATATGGGTCTTTTTGGGACATATGTATTATGAATACCTTGTCATTTGTATCATCTTTTTCACTATCTAAATTTGGTGTCTTTTGGTGAGCAACAGTTATTACTTTTTAATAAAGTATGATTGATTATTTTTAAATGGTTACTGCCTTTTGTCTTATTTTAAAAATCTATGCCTACATTAAGGCAAGGAAGCTATCTTCCTATATTTTGTTTTAGAAGCTTATTTATTTTTATTTTACCTTTTACATTTAGATCTGAAGCTGAATGACTCCTGGGGAAAGGTTGTCACTGGGGAACCATCTAAGTGCATCTGTTTTCACTTAGATTTGTTATTTTTATTCCTAAATTTGATTTCCTTTTCATACTACTGTAAATGGAATTGTTTCATTAATTTTATTTTTATTTTCATGATAGTATATAGAAATAGAGTTGATTTTTACATATTGATCTTGTATCCTGCAACCTTGCAGAATTTATTTATTAGCCTTGATAGTTTTTTGTGTGAATATCTTAGGACTTTAAAAAAAATAAATGAGCTGTGTCATCTGCAAATATAGATAGTTTTACTTCTTCCTCCCTATTTCCTTCTAGATGTTTTAAAATTTCCTTTTCTTGCCTGATTTGCATGACTAGAATCTCCAGTACAATATTGAGTAGAAGTTGCAAAAGTGGATATCCTTGTCTTGTTCCTTGTCTTAGGGGAAAAACATTGAGTCTTTCATCATTCAGTATGATGTTAGCTGCAGATGTTTCATAGATGTCCTTTATCAGGTTGAAGGAGTTTTCTTCTATTCCTAATTCGTTGAGTGTTGTTGTTGTTTTTAATCATGAAAAGCTTTGAATTTTGTCAAATGCTTTTTCTGCATCTGTAAAGATAATCATATGTTTTTTGTCCTTTATTCTGTTAACTATGGCATATTACATTGATTGGTTTTCAGATGTTAAACAAATCCTGCATTCCTAGGATAAATCTCACTTGACGGTCATGTATAATTCTTGTTATATGCTGCTGGATTTATTTTGCTAGCATTTTGTTGAAATTTTTTGTGCCGATATTCATAAAGGTTACTGGTCTGTAGTCCTCTTTTCTTGTGGTGTCTTTGTCTGATTTTAGTATCAGGGTAACAGTAGCCTCTTAGAATGAGTTTGGAAGTGTTCCCTCCTATTCTATTTTTTGGAAGAGTTTGTGAAGGCATGGCATTAAATCTTCTTTAAATATTTGAAAGAATTCGCCAGTGAAGACATCTGGGCTTTGACTTTACTTTGTGGGAAGTTTTAAAATTACCAATTCAATTTCTTAACTTGTTATAGGTATATTCAGGAATTCTGTTTCTTTTTGAGAGAGTTTCAGCAGTTTGTGTCTTTCTAGAAATATATCTAGTTCGCTTATTTAGTTTGTTGTCACACAGCTATTTATTTTTATTTTTTTAAGGTCAGTAGTGAAATCCCCTCTTTTATTTCTGATTCTAGTAATTTGAATCTTCTATAATTTTTAATTGATAAATCTAGTTAAATTTTATCAATTTTGTCAGTCTTGAAAAAAATCAACTCTTTGCTTATTGATTTTCTCTATTATTTTTCTATGCTCTATTTCATTTATTTCCATTCCAATCTTTATTATTTCCTTAATTTTCCTTATTTTGGTGTTAGTTTGCTCTTTATCTTTTTAGTTTCTTAAGGGAGAAGGTTAAGTTACTGATTTGAGGCCTTCTTTCTCTTTCAACGTAGGTGTTTACACCCACAAATTTTCCTCTAGGCACTGCTTTTGTCACATCCTATAAATTTTGATATTCTGTATGTTTTTCTCATTAATCTCAAAGTTTTAAAAAATTTTCTTTGTAATTTCTTCTTTGACTCATTGATTATTGAGGGGTTTGTGGTCTAATTTCCACATATTCATGAATTTTCGAAATTTCCTTCTAGTATAGATTTTCTACTTTAATTCTATTTAGGTCAAATAACATACTTTGTGTGATTTTAATCCTTTTACTTTTATCGAGGCATGTTTTAGGGCATAGCACATAGTCTGTCCTATCCTGGGGAAATGTTCCATGTGTGCATGAGAAGAATTCTCCTCTTGTTGAATGGAGTGTTCCATAGATATCTGTTAAATCTAGTTGGTTTATAGCATTTTTCAAGCTGTTTCCTGATTGAACTTCTGTCTAGTTGTTCTACCAATTATGGAAAGTGAGATATTGTAGTCTCCAACTATAATATTATCATTGAATTATTTATGTCCACCTTCAATACTGTCAATTTTTGCCTCCTGTGTTTTTGGGGTGCTATTGTTAGATGAACATAGGTTTATAAAACATACCTTCCTAATAGATGGACACTTTATCATTATAAAATGTTCCTTTTGTGTTCAATAGCACTTTTGTCTTAAAGTCTATTTTGTCTGCTATTAGTACAGCCACTTCAGCTGTCTTGTGGTTACTGTTTGTATGGTACATATTTTCCCATTGTTTTACTTTCAACCTATTATATCTTTGAAACTAAAGTGTGTTTTTTGTAGATTACATCTGGTTGCATCTTTTAAAAAATTCACTCTGTCGTTCTGCCTTCTGATTGGAGTATTTAATTCATTTACATTTAATGTAATTACTGATAAAGTAGATTAGCACCTTCCATTTTGTTGTTTGTTTTCTACATGTCTTATGTGTTTGTTCCTTTTTCCATTACTGCTTTATTTTGCATTCAATATATATTTTCTAATGTAACATTTTAATTCCCTTGTTTCTTTTTCTGTATATATTTTTTAGTTATTTTTGTGGTGGTTGCCCTGGGAATTACAATTAACATGTTACCTTAAAACAAACTGGAACAGATTAATGGTAGATAATTTTAAATGTTATGCAAAAACTTTGCTTTAGTGTAGCTGTTTCCTCCCCCTTCTTTATATTATTGTTGCTGTCGAAATTGCATATTTATACATTTGAAGCCTGTCAATACAGATTTAAAAGTGTTATTACAGGCAGTTGTCTTTTTTTTTTTTTTTTTTTTGAGACAGAGTCTTGCTGTGTCGTCCAGGCTAGAGTGCAGTGGCGCGATCCCGGCTCACAGCCAGCTCCGCCTCCCGGGTTCATGCCATTCTCCTGCCTCAGCCTCCCGAGTAGCTGGGACTACAGGTGCCCGCCACCAGGCCCAGCAAATTTTTTGTATTTTTAGTAGAGACGGGGGTTTCACCATGTTAGCCAGGATGGTCTCGATCTCTTGACCTTGTGATCCACCCGCCTCGGCCTCCCAAAGTGCTGGGATTACAGGAGTGAGCCACTGCACCTGGCAGGCAGTTGTCTTTTGATCAAATAGGAGGACAGAGTTACAAAAATACATTTATACCTTCATTTTTACTTATATTGTTACCTTTATCAGTGCTCTTTATTTTGTATGTTAATTCAGATTATTATCTATTGTCTTTTCATTTGAGACTAAAGGACTTCTAGTATCTCTTGTAAAGCCAATATAATAACAAATTTTATCCATTCTCATTTATCTGTGAATGTCTTAATTTCTCCTTCATTTTTGCTGGCTAGTTTTTGCCAGATATAAAATTCTTGACTGACGGTCTTTTACTTGCAGTACTTTGAACATGTCATCTTACTACCTCTGGCCACCATGGTCTCTGCTGAGAAGTCAGATGACAATCTTATTCCTCATCAGTGATGAGTCATTTCTTTCTTGCTACTTTCAAGAATCTCTGGCTTTGGTTTTATGATGTATTTAGGCATGAGTCTCCCTGAGTTCTCCTTCTTAGCATTGATTGAGCTTCATTCAAGAATTTCATTTAGTTCTTTAAAAATATAATTTCTGTCTCTTTATTGACATTCTCCATTTGGTGAGATACTATTGTTATACTTTAATTTTTTTAGACACGATTTTCTCTAGTTCCTTGAAAATATTTTTAATAGCTGACTTAAAGTCTTTGGGTACTAATTTCAACAACTGTCCCCCATGGGACAATTTATATTGAATGCATTTTTTCCTATTTTTCTGAATGTCTCATATATTTTGTTGAAAACTGAACACTTTAGATAATATGATGTGGCAACTCTGGAAATAAGTCCCCTTTATCCTGGGTTTGTTGCTTTTCTCTCTTTCTTTCTTTCTTTCTTTCTCTTTTGGTGGTGTTGCTGTTGCTATATACTTGTTTAGTAACTTTGATGGACTAGTTTTGTGATGTCTTTATTACCTGTAGTGTGTATCTGTATTAGTTTGTTCTCATGCTGCAATAAAGACATACCTGGAACTGAGTAATTTATAAAGAAAAAGGTTTAATTGACTCACAGTTCCACATGGCTGGGGAGGCCTCACAATCATGGCAGAAAGCAAAGGGGAAGCAAGATATATCTTACGTGGCAGCAGGTGAGAGAGCTTGTGCAGGGGAACTGCCATTTATAAAACCATCAGATCTTGTGAGACTTATTCACTACCATGAGAACAGTATGGGGAAAACTGCTCCCAGTAGTCAATTATCTCCACCTGTCCCTGCCCTTAAGGCATGGGGATTATTACAATTCAAGGTGAGATTTGGGTGGGGACACAGCCAAACCATGTCAGTATCCATTTAAGTCTCTGCTCAGTTTTCTTAGTAGTCAGCTAATACTTGGTGGTCATATATTTCTTTCTGCTTTTTTTTTTTTGAGGTGGAGTCTCACTCTGTCACCCAGGCTGGAGTGCAGTGGCATGATCTTGGCTCACTGAAACCTCTGCCTCTCGGGTTCAAGTGATTCTCCTGCCTCAGCCTCCTGAGTAGCTGGGATTACAGGTACACACCACCATGTCCAGCTAATTTTTATATTTTTAGTAGAGCTAGGGTTTTGCCTTGTTGGTCAGGCTGGTCTCAAACTCCTGACCTCAGGTGATCCACCCACCTCAGCCTCCCAAAGTCCTTGGATTACAGGTGTGAGCCACCGTATCTGGCCAGATATCTCTTTAGATGCCTTTAATCAATATAATTTTTACCCTTTCCTGGGGGTTCTGTATGTATGATGGGGCATGCTTTAGATGCTCATGTAGGTACTTACAACTCTCTGTATTCTTTACTTTCTACTTATATATGGTCTCAAGGCCAGCCAGAGGTAAGATATTGGAGCTTTCTGAGATCTTTCCAGGTGTGTCCTAAATATCCAGGAATAGATCAGAGATTTCCCAATGTCCCTATGGGCATCTTTCTCTCTATTTTCCTTTTAAGGTTTTGGCCAGGCTGTTGTTTTTCCTAACTGTTATTACAGACTCAGGTATTTGTGATGCTAAACAATTGCTTCTAATTGTTTTTAACAAGTGCTCTAAGGACAGGGCTTTTCCTACCTAGTGAGCTTTAAGCCAGGTCAAATAATGACAACACCGTGTGCATAAGGATCTTCCAGGAAACACGTCAAATTGTGACAATGCCCTGGAGAATGGAACTTTTTAAGACGCTCCAAACTCAGTTCCCACCCCATCTTGTAGCTGCAAGGAAGATGGTCTTCTTAACCACCTGGGTTGAGTGATTGCTGGTTTTTAAGGCTACTCTGGAGCTGGGGAGGAGGTGGTGGGAGTAGATCTAGTTAAAGTACCATAAATCCTGATGTTCTTACCAAGGATTAGCTGGGATTTTTTGAATAAACACTCCTTAGGTTGTTATATGGCTTTGGTTAATTTCTAGGGTTGTGAGAAAGTTTTTTTTTTTATTATATTTTAAGTTCTGGGGTACATGTGCAGAACACGCAGGTTTGTTACATAGGTATACATGTACCATTGTGGTTTGCTGCACCCATCAACCCATCATCTACATTAGGTATTTCTCATAATGCTATCCCTCCCCTAGCCTCCCACCCCCTGACAGGCCCTGGTGTGTGATGTTCCTCTCCCTATGTCCATGTGTTCTCAGTGTTTAACTCCCACTTATGAGTGAGAACATGTGGTGTTTGGTTTTCTGTTCTTGTGTTAGATTGCTGAGAATGATGGTTTCCAGTGTCATCCATGTCCCTGCAAAGGACATGAACTCATCTTTTTTTCTGGCTGCATAGTATTCCACGGTGTATATGTGCCACATTTTCCTTATCCAGGCTATCATTGATGGGCATTTGGATTGGTTCCAAATCTTTGCTATTGTGAACAGTGCCACAATAAACATATGTGTGCATGTGTCTTCATAGTAGAATGATTTATAATTATTTGGGTATATACCCAGTAATGGGATTGCTGGATCAAATGGTATTTCTAGTTCTAGATCCTTGAGGAATTGCCACACTGTCTTCCACAATGGTTGAACTAATTTACACTCCCACCAACAGTGTAAAAGCATTCATTTTCTCCACATCCTCTCCAGCACCTGTTGTTTCCTGACTTTTCAATGATTGCCATTCTAACTGGCATGAGATGGTGTCTCTTTGTGCTTTTGATTTGCATTTCTCTAATGATCAGTGATGATGAGCTTTTTTTCATATGTTTGTTGGCTGCATAAATGTCTTCTTTTGAGAAGTGTCTATTCATATCCTTTGCCCACTTTTTGATGGGGTTGTTTTTTTCTTGTAAATTTGTTTCAGCTCCTTGTAGATTCTGGATATTAGCCCTTTGCAGATGGATAGATTGCAAAATTTTTCTCCCATTCTGTAGGTTACATGTTCACTCTGATGATAGTTTCTTTTGCTGTGCAGAAGCTCTTTAGTTTAATGAGATCCCATTTGTCAATTTTGGCTTTCATTGCCATTGCTTTTGGTATTTTAGACATGAAGTCTTTGCCCATGCCTATGTCCTGAATGGTACTGCCTAGGTATTCTTCTAGGGTTTTTATGGTTTTAGGTCTAATATTTAAGTCTTTAATCCATCTGGAGTTAATTTTTGTAAAAGGTGTAAGGAAGGGATCCAGTTTCAGCTTTTGGCATATGGCTAGCCCGTTTTCTCAACACCATTTATTAAATAGTGAATCCTTTCCCCATTGCTTGTTTTTGTCAGGTTTGTCAAAGATTAGATGGTTGTAGATGTGTAACATTATTTCTGAGGCCTCTATTCTGTTCCATTGGTCCATATATCTGTTTTGGTACCAGTACCATGCTGTTTTGGTTACTGTAGCTTTGTGGTATAGTTTGAAGTCAGGTAGCATGATGCCTCTAGCTTTGTTCTTTTTGCTTAGGATTGTCTTGGCTCTGTGGTCTCTTTTTTGGTTCCATATGAAATTTATTTTTTCATGTTTTTTCCCAATTCTTTGAAGAAAGTCAATGGTAGCTTGAGGGGGATAGCATTGAGTCCATAAATTACTTTGGGCAGTATGGCCATTTTCATGATATTGATTGTTCTTATCCATGAGCATGGAATGTTTTTCCATTTGTTTGTGTCCTCTCTTATTTCCTTGAGCAGTGGTCTATAGTCCTCCTTGAAGAGATCCTTCATATCCCTTTTAAGTTGTATTCCTAGGTATTTTATTGTCTTAGTAGCAATTGTGAATGGGAGTTCGCTCATGATTTGGCTCTCTGTTTGTCTGTTATTGCTGTAGGGATGCTTGTGATTTTTTAATTCTTTTATGGAAGGGCTTATTTATGGAAGTCCTTACTCTGCCATGTATAAATCCTCTTTCAGTTAGATATGAGGACCTTTTAAGTAATTTCTGCATGTGCTGTGTCAGGTGCTGCTGCTAGAATGAGAAATAAGATATAGGGCTTGTTTTCATCTCATAATGTGAAAAGGAGAGGGACAAGTTGCATACAAAAGCAACAAAATGTTACACACATAGAAGGATGACCAGGGTGAAGTAATGGCTCAAGGAATGTAGTGGCTATATCTACCTTTGAGGCAAGGTGTGACCAGGAGAATCATGGTGAAGGAGTAGTCTTATACATATGGACATGAAATAACCCCACGGATTTGGGAAGCTGCTTTGGAATCAGGTTGGGCGTGGTAAGAGTGGAGGATGGGGAGATCATCAGGGGCCTGGTGTCAGGAGGTTAGAGTTTTTTTGAAAAGCTATGAGAGCCTTAGCAGAGGTTTGAGCACAAGTCTGACTTGTTCAGATGGAAGTGAGCAAAAGTCACCCTGTCCACTGTGTGGCGAGTGCATTGGAGGGTAAGTGAGAAATGGGATGGGAGTCTTAGGAAAGAGGACTGGTTTCTTAACTTGGCAGAGAGGTGATGGTCAATACCTGGGAGTAAGGTAGTGGCAGTGGAGAAAGGAAGGAAGGGTTGGAGTGAAGAGATAATTCAGTAGTAGAATCCATGGGACCCGAAACCCAATTTCATATGAAAGAAAGGTCAGAAGAATCTTTTTTTTTTTGGCTGAAAGATGTAGCTTGTTCCCATGAAGAAAGCCATGAGCCTTCTAAGTTTCAACTGCCTCCAGGAACATGTTCTGGAATCCATGATATAGTTACAGCAAGGGAAGTAAATAAAGAAATAACCTCCAGTTCAGGCATCAGCAACACATGTCATTCTTCCAGACTTCCCTGGCTGGGTTGGGCAGCTCCTCTTAGGCTCACACAGAACCTGCTTCTTATGCCTAGCAGAGCACTTAGCATATTACTTTAAAATTATCCATTTATGTGCCTGTCTTTCCCTGTAAACCATGAGTGGTTTAAGCATAGGAACCAAGTCTCACTCAGCATTGCTTCCCTAGCTTGTCCCAGAGTCGGGATTAACAATTGTGTATTGAATTAAGGATGGGTGTAGAGGGTTAGGAAGAAAGGATATCTGGAAGGGTAGTACTGAGTGGTTTCATAAATTTTTAAATTTCTCCCCAAACCCAGTACCTCCCAAACCTGAGCAGAGTGTTCAGTTGTCATAGCCCTGCTCAGTGCTTTAGACACTCAGTCTCCCTGGGGCAAGGGTGGCACCTTGATCAAGATGGTTTCTCTTGAGCCACCATCTTGCATTCTAGGATCCCCACTGGGAGCTGTTAGTGTGCCTTGAGGCCAGGTTGTGCTGGACACATCTGTGATGATGTTTTCTTCCCTCCCTCTCCATTTAGGAAGCTGACATGGCTCCAGGCAATGTAACTTCTCTGGGCATCATTTTCAAGTGGAGCTTTTGGACAGTTCTAACGTTTGTCAGGTGCTTGGGAGGTCTATGCAGCTGAGCTGGGGCTTTTTTCTGATTTTTAGGGACTGGCAGCTTCAGGTTGTCTCCTTAAGTAGAGAAGCAAGGTGGAAATTGGGAAAGAAGGCTGTAGGGGAAGATCACTTCCATCCAGTCACCAGATGCTAAGCAACTTTGTAGGGGAGAGCAATGAACCCGGGGATGCTGGAAAGGAATGCCGGGAAGGGAAGGAGGGAAGGGAAGGGTGGCAGACCCCTGTAGGAGCCCACCAGGGACCCTTGCACCATGAGCACAGTGAAACCCAGACCAGTGAGGAGGCCTGACCAAAGGAGAGCGAGTGGCCCAAGCCATAGACCTCAGGATCCACAGACCACCCTCTGTCCTCCCTCCCTCTGCCTTTCTTCCTTCATTCCCTTCCTCCTTCTTTCCTTCCTTCCTTCTGCTCTTTTTGCTTCCTTATTTTCTTCTTTTCTTCCTTCCTTTCTTTATTCTTCCCTTCCTTCCCTCCTTTGTTCTTTTCTTTCTTCTTTTCTTCCTTTGTTCTTTCTCCTTTTCCTTCCCTCCTTCCCTCTCTCTCTTTTCTTCCTTCCATCCTTTTTGTCCTTAGGAAGGAAGGCAGGAAAGAGGGAGGGAGGGAAGCCTGAAGGAAGGGAAAAAGGAGAAGGAAAGAAGGAAGAAGGGAAGAGAGGGAGGAAGGAAAGATAGAAGGAGGATGGGAAGGAAGGAAGAAAGGAAGAAGGGAGGGAAAGAAGCAGGGAAGGAAAAAAGGAAGGAGAGAAGGAAGCTGAGAAGGAAGGAGGGAAAGAGAGAAAAACAGATGAAAGGCAGAAAAGGAAGGAATGAAAGAAGGAGGGAGAGAAGGTAAAAAGGAAGGAAGGAAAGAAGGAAGGAGGAAAGGGAAGAAGGAAGGGAGGAAGGAAGAAAGGCAGAAGGGAGGGAGGACAGACGGTGGTTGGTGGGTCCTGAGGTCTTTGGACACAAGCCAGTTGATTTCGTTTGCCTCAGGACCCAAGTGGCGGGAGGCCTCCTCACTGGTCTGGGCTTCACTGTGCTTATGATACCAGGGTCCCTGGTGGGCTCTACAGGGGATCTGCTCATAGCTCCCGGGCTGACAGATGCGGGAGACTTGTTGGGCATAGCTAATGTGCCTGGTGGTGCCAGCTGTGAAGGGAGGCAGGGGCAGGCTCAGAGGAGAACCCAGTGCCGCATGATAATTGAGGCTTGTGTTTGGGGAGCAATTTAGTGTTTTCAAAGCACTTTCATGTACATTATTTCATTCTATCCTCAGAGCGATACTGTGAATGTGTTATTATCACTCTGTTCTGTTCAGAGTAGAAATCTGGGCTTAGGATGTACTGCCATTCAACAAGGCAGGGCCCACTTCTGAGACTCCTGAGACTGGCCCTGGAGCCCTTCACTCCAGGCCTAGACACCACAGAGAGCTCCTTGCCAGCCTCCGTGCGACTCTACCACCGAGCCTCTCTCTGTGAGTCCTCAGGGTGAAGGCCAGGGTTAATAGCAGGGTCTGCAGAAGCCCCTCCTCCCTCCTGAAGCCACCAGCAACAAGCAGGAAAGTTCTCAAGAGATCAAAAGAAATGTTTTCCCTGAGTGAGGTCAGTGCTCACAATGGTGCATCCATGGGTGGAATGCAGTGCTCCAATTCCAGCAAGGCTGGTGTGGCCGTGATAGAAGTGATTAAACCAGGCTCAATCCATTGATTCATTCATTTGGTTGTTCGCCAACATGTAGCGGCAATTGTTAATGCAAGGCAGGTGAGAGATTCTTGCAGGTGGGGTCAAGGGGAGAGACATACAGGTCAGTAGGGCGAGGTCCGGCCCTTGAGCCTTGGCTGGTGGAAATGTATAGTGCTCTCTCTACCTTAGCATGGCTGTGCTGTGTGGATATATGCTCTCATGCCCACAGCAAATGCAGAGGGGAGCTCAGTGTTGAAGGCTAGAGAAAGCTTATAAAGCTTTAGCAAAGAGAGGGCTCTAGACCTGGCCAGGGAAGGCCTGCTGTACTATGATATGATCACAACCTTTTCCTGACTCTGCATCCTGCAGGCAGCACCTGAACACTTCGCCACCTGTCTGTGTGGGCAGAGTGATGTTAAAACTTTGCCAGCTTTGCTAGTGAAAATGGAAGATTGTGCAACTATTTCAGAGGACAGTTTGTCTGTTTCTTAGAAAGCTAAGCATAAAATTACCTTAGGACTTTGCTATTCTGCTCCTAAATATTGACCCAGAAGAGGCTGAGCGTGGTGGCTCACACCTGTAATCCCAGCACTTCTGGAGGTTGAGGCAGGCGGATCACTTGAGGTCAGGAGTTTGAGACCAGCCTGGCCAACCCTGTCTCTACCAAAAAATGGTGAAACCCTGTCTCTACCAAAAAATGCAAAAATTAGCCAGGAGTGGTGGCACATGCCTGTAGTCTCAGCTACTTAGGAGGCTGAGGCACAAGAATCACTTGAACCCAGAAGGCGGAGGTTACAATGAGCCGAGATTGTGCCACTGCACTCCAGCCTGGGTGACAGAGTGAGATCCTGTCTTAAAAAAAAAAATTACCCAAAAGAAATGAAAAAAATATATCCACACAATGACTTGGACATGAATGTTTAGCGCAGCTTTAATCGAAAAAGCAAAAAACTGAAAATGATGCAAATGTTCATTGACAGGTGAATAGATAAACAAATAGTGATGTTCTCAGTAATAGAAATTAGACAGTAATTAAAGAAAACAATCTGGTGATACACACAGTGACAAAGATGAATCTCAAAAACATTATGCTGAGCAAAAGAAGCCAGACCGGAAAAAGAGTACCTTATGTATCATTTTATGTCTATGAAACCCTGGAAAAAGTGAATCTGATCTTGAGCTACAGAAAGCAGACCAGTGGTTGCCTCGGGTGGGGGCGGGTGGGAGACTGGCTGGCAGTGCACAGGGAACTCTCCTGGATGATGGAAATGTGCTCCATCAGGATCAGCAGGTGGGTGCACAGGTGGATGTCCTTGCCAACTCATTGCCCTGAACATCTCAAGGCAGATGCTGCCAAGGCACTGGTGCAACACTCTGGAGACCCTGCTGCACCTCGTCTTGTTCCCTTTATTTGCCAGGTCACAGAGAGGGCCAAAGTTTCCCAGAGGAGGGTTCAGTTTGGCCAGGACAGGGCAGGAGTGTCATTGAGAAGTGTTGCATCAGTCAGGGTCCTCCAGAGAAGCAGAATCAGTACACATACACATAGAAGAAGAGATTCATTATAAGGAATTGGCTCAGGCACTTTTGGAGGCTGACAAATCCCAAGATGTGCAGTCAGGAAACAGGAGACCCAGGAGAGCCAGCGGTGTCAGTTCCAGTCTGAAAGAGGATTCAGTTCAAGTTTGAAGGTTGGAAAATACCAATGCCCCAGCTCAACACAGTCAGGCAGACAAAGTTCCCGCTTCCTCAGCTTCTTTTTCTTTTTCTTTCTTTCTTTCTTTCTTTTTTTTTTTTTTTGAGACGGAGTTTCACTCTCATAGCTCAGGCTGGAGTGCAATGATGTGATCTTGGCTCACCACAACCTCTGGCTCCTGGGTTCAAGTGATTCTCCTGCCTCAGCCTCCTGAGTAGCTGGGATTACAGGCATGTGCCATCATGCCTGGCTAACTTTGTATTTTTAGTAGAGATGGGGTTTCTCCATGTTGGTCAGGCTGCTCTTGAACTTCCGACCTCAGGTGATCTGCCTGCCTCAGCCTCCCGAAGTGCTGGGATTACAGGTGTGAGCCACCACGCCTGGACCCTCAGCTTCTTTTTGTTTTATTCAGATCTTCAACTGATGGGATGAAGCCCACCTACATTAGTGGGGGTGATCTACCTTACTTAGTTACTGATTCAAATGCTAATCTCATCCAGAAACACCCTCACAGACACACCCAGATTAATATTCAGCCAAATGTCTGGACACCCTGTGGCCCAGTCAAATGCTAATCTCACCCAGAAACACCCTCACAGACACACTCAGATTAATATTCAGCCAAATGTCTGGACACCCTGTGGCCCAGTCAAATAGACATATAAAATTAACAATCACAGGTGTCACCAAGGGGCCTTGAGGTGACAGATGGGTATTGTATTGTTTAGTGTGTTCATATGGGTTCAGTGTAGCAGGGCACCTGTGGGTGAGGGGCAGGTAGTTTGTGACTTACCCCTGGCATTCCTATCTTTGAGGAGATTATGGTGCCATGAGAGAGACTGTCATCAGTAAAAAAGTTACTCATGGAAGTAAAATTCAAACTGCAGTAATATTTACAAAGGAGCATGTGGGGTCCAGGAGAGGCCCAGGTTGACCTGACCCAGCAGGGGTCAGAGGGGTTTCTAGAGGTTATTGGCCCTGGGCCTGTGAGGTTTGCCTTTGTTGTCCACTTGCTGGGTTTTGCCATCATGGCCCTGAGTAGCTGGCACATCTCCCGACTCCCTTAGGGGGAGTTTCACGTGTTCCATTCTTGCTTTAGTTAAAAGTAGCTCAATTTGGGGAAGGTCCTTACTTGCAGCTTGTCTCACCTTGATAGGTGACAGCCAGGTTTGCAGAGGCTGCCTTTCCATGTCACGTTCACCCTGAGGAGCCAGACCAGGCATATAGACATCCCCAGCCTAGCTTTCCATTAACCTCTCCTCTCCCAAGCTTAGGGGAAGAGTTACCTGGGAATGGGTGGCTGCTGACCTTCAGCATGGGTGCAGGGAGAGCATGGCCTGCAGAGCAGGCTTGGAGTCTTGCCGTACCAATCCTGTCTGGGATTCAGGGTGTTCTAGATGGGCTGCAACCCTACCAGGTGGGCTCAGGGTGTCAAGACTCTCTTTTCTGCATTTTCACCGGGGAGAATATTCATCCTTTCCTCCTTCCTACTGCTCTCTGATTTCATTTTGGGGAGTTCCATCTTGCCCTTATGTGTAGTCTGGGGGGATTATCCCATTTACAGAAGCCAAAGGGGCCAGATATGCCTTCTTAACTGCCTAATACAACCGGGGGGAACACCAAGACCTAACCTGGCCACTTAAATGCTTTCTCGTGGGGCTCTAAAAATTTGAGGACCAAAGACCTGGCTGGAAATCATTCATGGGGTGTGTGAGGCTGGAGGATACTCTGGCCACACCATTTCTACTCTAAAGTTATTTTTGTAGTTTGTTCTCCAAACCCCTGGAGCTGCCTCACATCCCAGCTTCATCCTATAGCTTTGGCAGTGTGATATGGTCTGGCTCTGTGTCCTTACCCAAATCTCATCTTGAATTGTAATCCGAATTGTAATCCCCACGTGTTGGGGGAGGGACCTCGTGGGAGGTGATTAGATCATGGGGGCGGTTCCTCCATGCTGTTCTCGTGATAATGAGTGAGTTCTCAAGAGATCTGTTGGTTTTATAAGGGGCTTTTCCCTGCTTCGCTCAGCACTTCTCTCTCCTGCCACCATGTGAAGAAGGATGTGTTTGCTTCCCCTTCCACCATGATTGTTTCCTGAGGCCTTCCCAGCCATGTGGAACTGTGAGTCAATTAAACCTCTTTCCTTTATAAATTACCCTGTCTTCATAGCAACCTGAAAACGAACTGATACACAGTGATTCTGTGAGTTGCCAGATTCCTTCCAACAGTTCCCCAACTTTAATTAGAATCAATTTCTGTTGCTTGCACTAAAGAGCCCAGTGGTTCTTGCTGGATCCATTTCAAATTGACGCTTCCCATGCCTACTCTGTTCTGCACTCCTAAATGGGAGAAAGGGCATTTTCCATTAATCTCAATGAGGCTTTTTTGATTAGAGTTTGCAAAGTGCTGGGATGTGAAGGGGCTTTCCTTGTGCTACCACTGAATGTTTGGGTAGCTTAGAGTAATCAGACCACATGCATGAGCCCAAACCAGGCCAAGATGGTCCCTTGTGGTCAAAACCGCACTTAATCCCCACCTGCCCCATTTGAAAAGAGAAATCCTGAGCATCTATTTTAAACTTTTTAAAGATATGACGTTTATGTAACTCACCTCTTTGAAGTTGGAAATATCCTCATAAACTTTGAAAGGAATGAGCATTGGCAGCTTATAAGTTTCCAGAAGAGAGTGCTGGGGAGGTTGGGCTAGCAGAAGCTTGCTGGAATAGGAAGGGTTGAGAAAGGGAGTTGGCACAGCCAATTAGAGATTCAAGTGGTCAAGGTGCCCAGGTGTAAGGAACTTACACCTGGAGTGCAGGACTTGCACAGCAGGTGCAAACCGTTTGACACCATGGCTTACAGTCTGACTCAGGAAATGATTTGGGTTAAAATTAAAATAAGAATAAATATTTGGAAAACAAGATATGAGTATAATGAGTGCTGAAAGAAAGAGGCTGCCCAGTGAGGCTGCCCAGGGGCTTGGACATTGCATGCCCTGAGTAACCACATCAGGACTATGGCCATCCACTTTGAGGGCCTCGAATCAATTTTGCCAGGGAGCCTGGAGGTGACTCGAGTGGGTCAAGCTCATGAGAAATTACTGTGAATGTCACATCCTAATTTCCTTATCAAATTGAGAAAGAGAAAGGGCTGAGGGGAGCACAATGGCCAGCTCCCCTCTGGTGGAGGCTGAGCTGGAGAAGCCTCAGGGGTCAGAAGGGGAAGAGTCCCACTCTAGGACTGTGGGCATAGGTCAGCTGCACTGTCCACTGTGACTGTGGCAGACAGGGGCAAAGCGTGGGCTTGTAGGGAGCTCAGGAAAGGTGCTGACTGACTGTCTGATGACTAAATGAATCATGGAGAAAGGACAGCCTGGAGTCTCCACTTGCTCTGTCGAAAGAGACCTTTCTGACCCATTGAACCCTGTCAGTTGCTAGTTGTTTCTTATCCCAGGCACAGCTGGAGGCCTGGAAGCACTTTCCCTTCAACATGCCCTACATCTTTGAATAGGATAGTACCCCTAATGAGGCTGAATTCATGTTCTCAGGTCCTGCTGTTTCTGCTTTGACTACAGAGACCCTCCTAGGTAGGGGACCGGGCAGAGGCCAGCTGGACCCTCTACCACTGATTCCACCCATTTTACTCCCAGAGGAGGCCATTGCGTCCAGGTTCTTGGCACTTCCATAAGTTGTCTCGCATGCTGGAGGCTGGCTATCCTGATGCAGGTTCTGAGGGGCCTCTTGGTGTCTCCATATGTTGTTTAATCATGGCTACAGGTTCGCCATCTTGATGCTGACCCTAAGGGCTGGGACTCTGGAGCAAGGGCAGAAAAGCTTCTTTGTCTCAGTTTCTACTGAGTGAGTAAGTTCTTCCCTGCACCATCCAAGGGACAGGGAGATGGAGTCTTTCCTTCAGGCCCTGGAATCTCATTCCCAGAAGCTGGGAGTCACCCAGGGGGAATCCGGTGGTTCTCATAACTCCATGCTGCACCTGCTCTACCCAGCATTGGGAAGAGTCTTAGTCAATGGCATGTTTTTTGTATTTTTGTATTTTTTGTATACTTGTACCTGTAGACTCCAATCCTTTAGACCTATTTCAAAGTATGTACTAGAAAAGGAGAAAAAACACAAGTTCAACAAGTGTCTGCAGTGGGTTTGACATTTTATATCCATGATCTCATTTAAATTTCACAACACCGTGGGGAACTGAACTATGGCTCGGAGGGATTAAGTGACTTCTTCTAGATCACAAGATTAGTAAATGTTTGAGTTCACACTACTTCAACACTTATTAGTGTAATTTACTGCCTTGATCTGTATTTTGGGGGTTTAGCACAGTTCTGCCAGTTCGGAAGGACCTGGGAGGCTGTATAAGGACAAGTATTGCCTGATTTTGCTATTTTATGCTTATGCTAGAGTACACTGCTTATGAGGAACCATATGATACAGTAATGTTGTCAAATTTAGTGGCAGCTTCCTTACATATATCAAGGGCCATCTATCTTTGGCCCTTTTATAATGATTCCTTTTATAATAAAGAAAGTATAAAGGCTTTTTTTGGTTGCCTGGAGTGCTGATAAAAGGAACATTAGTATTTCCTATATTTGTGACTTAGGCTTTCATGTAGACTTAATTTCTGAAGATTTCCTATTGCTGCCAGTTACTCTCAGTCCATTAAATAGTTAGGACATAGGATAAAGAGAGACAATGTTTAGAGTAACTTGGCATGCTTGCTGGATACAATAATTGGAAGTCATTGATTTATAGTAGAAGTGATGGTAAACCTCTTTCTGTTAGATTTCATATTTAATTGAACATCCTCTATTGCCATCCTCCTGTCCTGAGTGCTATCCAGGTACTATCTTCATTAATGGCATTTCATGATGTTGTTTTCTGGGACCAGAACTTCCTACTGGCTCCCCTTCTTTCCACCATTTTATGTTTGTTAATTTCAAGGCAGTTTCAGACACTCCTGTAAATTGTTAAACAGTAATAGACTCCCCTCCTCTCATTTGACTTGATTATGAAGTGCCAAATTCCAAGTTCAGAAGGATTTGTTATTTGGAGATTATTTTGCCCTCTTTTGTAAATTAATTTCCTTTCCTGCTAAGACAGCCAAAGAACTGCAATGATTTTCTACCACAGAGAGGTAATGAGGCTTAGGGGAAAAAGCTTAATAGGAAAACATTGTCCCACACTAAGAATTAGGAACTCAGGGCAGAGAAGAAGAAGATGAATATTAAAACCAGACAGTGTGATATTTCTGTGTGAGGGTTTCTGTGAAAGTGTGCATGAATTGTTCTGGGGAGGAATTATGCCTGTACCTTCATGCACATCAGAGACTACCTATACAGAGAGACTGTGAAATGGTTAAGCACTTAACGCCTCATAGGCTGAAGCAGCAGAGAGGGGTTTGCAATTGAGTGTGATGTTGGGAGGCCAGGAATATTATAGAGTCCACAGATTCTGCAAAGTGGAGAAGGCTTTTTTAGTTATACATAGTCTGGAAGTTTCTTCTCACAAAATATCCTAGCAATTACAGTTGACCTTTGAACAATGTTGAAGTTAGGGGTGCTGACTCCCTACATAGTCAAAAATTTACATATAACTTTTGTTGTTCAGATTATTTCATCACTCAGGTATTAAGCCTAGTACCCATTAGTTATTTTTCCTGATCCTCTCCCTGCCCTACCTTCCACCCTCTAATAGGCCCCAGTGTGTGTTGTTCCCTTCTATGTGTTCTCATTATTTAGCTCCCACTTATAAGTAAGAACATGCAGTATTTGGTTTTCTGTTCCTGCATCAGTTTGCTAAGAATAATGGCCTCCAGCTCCACCCATGTCCCTGCAAAGGACATGATCTCATTCTTTTTTATAGCTGCATAGTATTCCATGGTGCATATGTACCACCATGGAATACTATGCAGACATATAACTTTTGACTTCCCTAAAATTTAACTATGAATAGGTTACTGTTGATAAGAAACCTTACTGATAATATAAAAAATTAACACATACTGTGTTTGTTATACATATTATGTATTATACTCTTACAATAGAGAAAAGAAAATGCTATTGATAAAATTATAAGAAAAAAATATAGTTACTATTCATTAAGTGGAAATAATCATCATAAATGTTTTTACCCTTGTTGTCTTCACATTGAGTAGCTGAGGAAGAGGAAGAAGAAGAGGGGCTGGTCTTGCTCTCTAGGGGTGGAAGAGGCAGAAGAAAATCTGAGTGTAAATGAATTCATGCAGTTTAAACCCATGTGATTAAAGGATCAACTGTGTACAGTTCTCCCAAGATAATAGCCTAGATCATTGGTTTGGAGGGGGGGATCATACCAGAGAGAACCCATGAAATAGAGATGTTGTTCAATTTGCAAGGCCCTGTTTTGTTTCTTTTTCTTTATTTTTTCTCTCTTTTCCTCTTGTGGCAGAAGGCTTTCTTTGGGGAGTGAGCCAAGCCTTGAAGAAAAAAAAACACAAACACAAAAAATCTCCTTAAAAAATGGGTTTGTTGCAGATCCCACACTTAAACCTGAAGGCATTGCAGTAATATTGCAATTGATATCAAAGTGCCTGTTTCATCACAGATGAGTTGAGGAGTTTGGGAAACACTGAAGAGGATTAATAAAAGAATAATTTCTAAAACATGGCATTGCTAATTTTTTCATGTCTAGCTTTTCCTCTGGATGGATCTTAAAAGCAAAACAAACAAAACCAGGCTATTTTTGGTTGTTCTATGAATTGTTTTGAAGATTTAGCCTGTTCTAGGAGTTTGCTTCCTCATGCTGTTTTCAGGTTGATGTCGTAACATGTGCCCCTCTTTGTTTACTGAAAATTATTAACTCTGTTCAATTGCTCTGTTGTGTCTTTATTCTTGCATTTCCTTCCTGTTTGTTTCTTAGAGGATGCCATTCCCATGTAGGCACTGTGCTATAAGAGACAGAAAGGAGAATCGACGTAAGTCTTGTTTTTGAAAGGTTTGTTTGGGAAGATGGAATGTTTAGTGCTTCGGATAGTGTTCCTTAGAAGCAGGGCCTGACATGGAGATTTGTGAGCACTTTATTTATTGAGAAAGGGAGATGCTCATAAAGGAGTTAGGGAGATGGGATGGAGGATGGTATGGACCTACTCAGGCAAGGCGTCGGCCTCACCCCCAGGAACACAGGTGATGCTGCAGAGTGTCCTATGGGCTTTTGTTCTCCAGCAGCATTGGCCATGGGGTGGCAACAGGGCCCTGTGGGCACCTCTGGGCTTTGATTACTCCAGGGAAGGTTGTGAACGTGAGCCTTTAGCCAGCACCTGCGGGCCCTGGGGCAGGGCCAGCGAAAGGGATCCTGGGGTGTGTCTGGGTGGGCACCAGCAATGTCTGCTGCAGTTGTGTACATAAATTGCCTTAGATAAAGGTAGAAAATAAGACATGTTACTAGAAGTTTGAGATAATGTGCAATGAAACTTCATAAGGCATAGAGGGTGGCTTGACCTGGGAGCATCTGGGAAGACTGCATGGGAGAACCAGCATACGAAATGAACCTGGAGAGATTTGAGCTTTTTGATCATGAGTAGGGAAGTGTGTTTTGGTTGTATGTGAAAGAAACCCCAATTAAACGTCTCCCACCTATACTCCAGGCCCAGCTAAAGCTAGTATAAGCAGAAATACAGAAATATAACATGTGAGCACACTTAATGGGGAGGTCTGAGGGTGCATGCTTAGAACTCCCTCTGCACACTGGTGCTGCTTGTCCTTTTATTTGCTCTGATTCCATCCCATCACATTCAATTATTAATTCAACAAACATGCATGTACTATATGCCAGACAAAAATCCCTTGCCCTCCTGGAGCCCAGAGTCTGGTTCTCATGGTAGGCAGGATGGTAACTGCCAGCCCCAGCCCAAGGAAGACAGTGACCTGGTTTGGTCTTGCTTGAGATGTTTCCATCCTGTGGGCTGGTCACTGTGAACAAGAGGATAGAAACATCCAATGACCGGGGATAGGAGTGGGATCTAGTGAGTGGTATCTAACCAGAGCCAGATGGAGTCCTGCAGGGGCCATTTCCCAATGGAATGGGGATGCCAGACAGGCTCCTAACTCCAGACGTCTCCCACATATACTCCAGGCCCAGGGTTCAAGTCAGATGATGGTACAGTATTACTCCTGGAAGGAGACTCTTGAATGATCAGTGACAGTGCTGTCAGAGCACAGGGCATTTGGAGAGGAGTGGTGCATATCCGGCTGGAACCTGATTTGAGAGGACTCTGAAGCTGTACCAGGACTGTAGCCTTTGTTCTGGGAGCCACAGAGGATGAAGGGGCTTGGTGTGCCAAGCGGGGTGTAGGAAGATCACTCTGGCAGGAAGTTTGTACGGGGCATAATGTTTGCTGGATTTGCGAACTGATTAAAATTAGAGGACAAATCAAAGGTGACTGCAAGGATGTGCTTCTACTTTTAAATATTTTGTTATCTTACAGGCCTTTTGAGATGTTCTCCCCCTCTGCTCCTTGACAAGACCATTGATCACAGTCTGGTCAGGCTTGGATTCTCAGAGCCTCCCTTATCTGTAGCTGTATCATTTTTAAAAGTCTTAGGACATGGAGTTACATCTTGCTTTTCTTTGGACATTTCACAGTCTCTTTGGCTAGAGTCTGGGATACATTTGTGATTACACTGAGCTGTACCCTCTCTGGCTAGCACGTGCTATTAAAATGACAGGACCACTTTCTCTCAATGTTCTTGCCACTCCATTTCCGGAACCATGTCTCTTTAGCTCCAGAATAGCGGCATTTCCTCCACTGCTTCTAAGTTGGCAAATTGTCACTCCAGGTGCACTGCTCTGGGCTTAATGGCTCTTCAGGCATATACTTTAGTTGAATGTAAACCTCCCATTGCCACTGTGTTTTGTCTGCTCCCTATTTCCATGAAAGTAAAAGGAAGGAATTTAAGTTCATTTAAGATCATTAATTTATAAAATTCCTAGCCTTGATGCTAGGCTTTGTTACCTACCAGGTATCTCTCTCTCTCTGTTATCTATCTATTTATCTATCTACCCATCCATTTATCATCCAGTCACCCATCTATCCATCCATCTACTCACCCATCCATCCAACTATCCATCCATGCATCCATCCATCCATCCATCCATCCATCCATCCATCCCTATAGTTCTCTCTCTCTCTTTTTATATGTATCTCTCTTTTCTCTGTCTCTCTCCCTATAGACACACACACAAGAAACACATAGATATCAGGGGAACAACTAGACATTTTTGCTAATTTTATTTTAGTCATTAATATAAGTGCATTTAATCCCGGCAATATATCTATAAAGTAGACATTATCTCTCAGTGATTATTCACTGAGTTTCAGGGAGGTTAAATAATGTGTTCAAAATTATAGTTAGTCTTTGGAGATGCCAGGATGGAAGCCTAGAAGGTTTGATGTAAAGATTGTGCTCATCAGAGCACAAACAATGTGGCAGCACCATCCATAATAGCAAAAACCTGGAAACACTGTAAATGAAAATCAATAGGTGTTTGGATAAATAATTGAATATTTATCCATAAAAAGAAATGCAATACCACTTCCCAAAAGAATGGATTAGGTCTACATACACAAAGAGTGAGAAAATGTTCATGATGTATTGTTTTATGACAAAAAGAAGCAAATTATACAATATTATGTACAATCTGATTTATTTCTGTTAAAGTTATATTCTTATATATGCATAGAAAGGGTCTGGAAGGATGCCCAAAAATATGCAGTTACCAGTGGTTACTTCTGGGAAATGAGATTGGGGAATAAAAAGGAATTTTCAACTAAAACTTTTTTGAAAATTTTGCAATTATTATTATTTTAATAACAGTTATTGTTGTTATAAAAATGTAAAAACCAATACAACACCCTGGTACAAAAGGCTATCTGCTGCCCTTCCCCTCCCGCACCCCACACCTGTCAGAGTACCCTCCTGGGAGAAGCACGTCTTCTGTTCCCATAGAAAGTGCTTCCTTTGTCCTCTCCACCCAAATTTAAGCATCATGTCCAGACGGTTTCTCTCCTCTCCAGTTTGTGTATTCCTGTGTGGGCTTAAAGTGTATTTTTCTGTTCATGTTCCTGATTATAAAGTTAATACTTAATAATAAAAACATCAATTCAGACAACAATGAAATATCGTATTACCTTTCAGAATGGTCAAGATTTTTGGAAGCAGTTTACATATATTTATTTTTTCCTTAAAGCACATGTTTTTATTAAAATTTGAAAATACTGTATATACTTAGAAGCATTCAGAATGTCAAAAAAACAGGATCTTTTTTCTTGCAATTATAAGCTGGTATTAAGTTCATAGAAGAGTTAATACAAGTTGCATCAAAAACAAAACTACTACTCCAAATATAGTTTGTGTTATATGTGACCTGCTTTAAATTTCTGTGTCAATTTACAGCCCCATACTGTAAGATACAAAGTCAGTGTCTATTGCAAATACCTCTAAAAGATAGGTTCATAATGTTTTAATCTTAATACTAGGCTTACTACACAAAAATTATCTACACATCCTTATTATTTCAATTTTTAAAAAACCAAGTGAGATGTGTGTAGGGCAGTTAATTCCTTCAGAGAAGAGAACATCTTCTAAGTTGGGAAATTGTCACTCCAGGTGACAATGCAGCTTCCCAAAAGGACTACCTAATTCCTCAACTCCATCCTCAACCACTTCATCCTCATCTTCCTCTTCCTTGGACTAGATGTTTTATCCTTGGCAAGTATCTCTGTTTTTTAAAAATAAACTTTTCACTTGGAATAATTTTAGATGATTAAACAATGGACAGAGAGTTCTTATCTATCCCCTTACTCAGTTTCCCTTGATGTTGATTATCTCATCTAATCAAATCCTACATTGCCATGGTACATTTGTCAAAACGAAGACACTGACAATGGTACATTACTATTTAAACCCAAGACTTTATTTGAATTTCACTAGTTTTTCTACTAATGTCCCTTTTCTGCTCTCAGTTCTAGTCTAAGATACCACATTGCTTTTAGGACAACTTCTTTTTCTCCTATGGTAGGCTTTAACCTGGCAAAGCAATACCATTTTCAAAAATTTCCTCAGCTTGGTAGGCTTATTGTAAGGTTGCTTATCACCTGCAGTGTTATTCAACATTCTCCTAATTCTTTTGCAACATATCCAAGATGCTCTCCTTTGATTTCTGGGGATAGACCGAACAAAATAAGAACAAGGTCGAAGGAGGCTATTGAGTGTATTGGGACGTCTGACCCTCTTTCTTTCCCCTTCAGAAGGAAATAAGGCTTTCATAGCGTGGCTTTATGCTTTTGCCACTTCTTCAGCATCCTCTCTTCTCAGCAGATTTGGTGGTCTTCTTTACGAAGCATTTTTTAGAAAATTCTGTGAAGTTGACTGAAGCATCAGGTGCTGCTTCTTGTGTGCCTTTCTCTGGCACAGCATCCTGCAGAGTCACGACACTCTCCATGGACGTGCACTTGTGGGTCTGTGGTGACCACAGTGCCCCTGGGACAATGACTGGGTCTTCTAGGGGAATCTGTAGCCATAGCTTCATTCCCAAAACTGGCTGCCTTGCTCATACGTGCTCTACATACATATTTTTAAATTATATTTTATCTGAGATACGAAAGTTATCCATGGCCATTATAATAAGAAAAACAGTTCAAAGATGTGTAAAGCAGTATTCTCCCCACCCCACACCACCTCCAGTCCCAGGCTCCGTGTTCACAGCTTGGAGTGTATCCTTGCACAGCTCTGTGTGGGTAACAAGGTACCAATGCATGTGGTGGGTACTTACCTCAAACCACAAATTCAGAAGTGGAAACAACACAGCCTTTTTTGACTGCAGCGGAACTTAATTTTCATTTTGCACTTCCCCTTCTGTGTGGGGGCAGAGAATGCAGCCACGGCCATGCTGTGTTTCCCCTGTCCCCTTCTCCTGGAGGAGCCTCTCTGATTTGGCAGTGAGAATAATGGTGCGGGTGGACAGTGCTGGTGGGGACTGCCCTGGTTCATTGTCATCACTGTCGCGCCTCTTCTGAGCCATACACTGTTCCTTCTGGACTTGCTGTTGTCTCTCTTGCTGTGTTTGCCAAGTCATCCACATTTCCGCATTGTGAGCCATTGGAGCTTATGACTGTGTGCTTCTCATATTCACCTACTATTGGCCTGTCCCTGACTCTCAGGTCACCAGGCAGCTCCACAGGCCACACTGGGGAGTGTGGGTGGGGTTCTGGGAGGCCCCTTATGTCTACCTTCCTGGATGCTTGAGAACACTGGGCTTGTTGGCATCACAGTGCAAAATGAAACTGAAGACAATTTCTCAGAGCCGCCCAAGACTGACCTGGGGATTCTTCCCCCCGCAATCCCCGGGGCTGGCCTTGGCCCTGGGAGCAGGGACAGCATCCCTTTCCAAGCCCCCACTGGACTCTGTTACTCAAGTCTCTCATGTCATCTCTTTTTGCCTGAGCATTTTTCTCTCTTCATGGCATCAAAAGTATTTTCCCGAATAAATTATTTAGAGCAGTGATTTCCAAAGTGGGTTACACAATTGATTCCTTGGTGTGTCAAAGAAAATTATTAGAACTTCTGTTTCTAATTTTTAAGTCAAAAAGCAAAGGAGTGAAGCTTCCTAATATTTAACACGAGTTGACACTTGGGTCGAATGGAGTGGACACTGAGCAGGGTTCAGAGCAGTGACCTTACCTGGCTGCTTGTCTTCTCAGGGCATTGAGCACAACCTATTTAATCTGCCATGAGATACCATTAGCTGATTACTTTTTAAAACACAAGACCTTTCAATGGCAGACTCTTTATAGTACCTTGTAATGAAATGGGGAGAAAATTTTGAAATCTTTTGTACTACCCAGAGCTTCACTGGTGATCTTTTGGCAAAGTGCTTAAAAGTCTGGGACTTGATGCTAAGACATTTTTCTCTCATTAAAAAACAAACTTTGAGGATTGCTGACCCTATTTGTAATAATGAGATAATGTCAATTGAATGCTACCTGGCAGATACTCTTCTAAAAATTAAACATATTTTATCTGTCCCTTCAATGTTTTAACAATTCATAAGAAAGTAATTGCTTTTTGAAGTAAATTCTTGGTTCAAGAGAGCATTTTGAAAATGAATGGTCGGAAATATTTCCAGTATTTTTAATTGTTGTTGCTGAAAACCATATGTGTCACTCATAAATAATAATTTAAAGCCCTTATATCTGCTTACTAGAAAACAAACCTTGGAAACAGAATTTTCTAATCCGTATATAAAAAACTTCCACAGTGAAGTATCTCAGGATGTTTTGAAAGTGCTTATGAAAACTATGAAAATTTTATCATCCTAAAAACCTGGGAAACAGAATTTTCTAGCCCATGTGTAGGAACTTTTCAGAGTGAAGGGTTTCAATGTGCTTTGAAATGACTTTCTAAAAACATGAAATTTTAGTGTGTTTGAAGTATCTGGGAAGATGGAAATGTATTAGTCAACTTTTTGACAAATTCTGTTTGCTAAGATTGAGGAAGCAATACCCCAAAGAACTTCTTCAGTTTGGACATATGGAAATCTGACAGATACCACTTTCAGCTACAGTACAGTACCCATTAAAATCAAGTATTGAAATAAATGGAAACTGGAAGCAGGCTTTGAATTACTGTATTACAAAGGGTTAAACCAAGATTTAAAAAAAATTAAAGCATTTTCAATTACATTGCTGGACTTAAATTGTTTATAATGGAGCATATATGTTTTTAATTATACCAAAAAGATTTTGTACTATTAATCACAGTAAATCATAACTTATTAAAATCATTTATTTCTTCTTTTGGATCTTTTCGTATTATATATTCTAATATGTTTTATAATCTATAGTAATTCATGTGCATAATTTTTAAATACCTAAGTATACACATAACGGAGCACCTGCTTCAAAGGTTTTGCTGATAGGTGTTCATGGTTAGGATGCTTGGCAGTCATAGTTTGGATGAGGACCTCAGCATTTGAAACTCAAAGCCATGAGTTAACCTTTATTTCTATAGTCTGCTGGGGTACCCATTATTTCCATGTCTTTAGGAGGGCCACTGTATAAAAGAAATTAGTAAAATGAAAACATGTCAGTATTATAATATTCTGCAAAAACGCATATAACTATATCATCGTTTTTATTTTAGAAAAAATGGAATTGTACTATATCCGTTACGTTGTAACTTACTTAAAAAAAAAACTCTACAGTAAATCACATTCATCTTTCCAAATTAGTAAATGTAAGTCTAATTTACTCCTTTAGTATTTATCTAGTGACCCATAATATGCACATGCTACATTTTACTAAGCATTTTCCTATTGAGAGATATACATGTTTGCCCCAGGTTTTCTCTTCCATTCTTTTCTTTCTCACTACCTCCCTCCGTTCCTTTCTTTGATGATTCCTCCTCCCCCAATACAGCCAATATGCCAATAAATATCCTTATACATTTTTTACTGCTGTAAGATAAATTTCTCAAAGTCGAACTCTAGGGTCAAAGGCTATATGTATTTTCAGTTTTAATAGCTATTGTCACATTACTTTTCAGATATGTTTGCAGCAATTTTCACTCAGCAATGACTAGAAATATTATTTCTTTCCATCCTTGCTGAACTGAAATTATTATTTTTCTTCATTTTTGTCAATTCGAGGGGTTAAAAATAATACCATGCTTAAATTTGCTGCTTGTGAGCTTGAGCACATTTTTATTTGTTTATTAGCTATTTTTGTTCGCTTTTGCTGCATAACAAATCACCCCAAACCTTAGTGGCCTAAAGCAACAACCATTTATTTTAGCTCACAATTCTGTGGGCCACCAGTTTGGGCTGGGCTCAGCCGGGAAGTTCTGTTACTGGTCTTGGCTTAGCTCCTTCACAGATCTGTGGTCAGCTACTGGTCAGTTAGGTGGCCCTGTGGTTGCCAGTTGGGTGGCTGTTGGCTAGGGCAATGGAGGCCAGTGGGCCATGTGTGTCTCATAATCCACCAGGCTAGACAGAGACTGTTCACAGGCTACTGTGGCAGGATTCCTCAGAGCAGCAAGATAGGACAAGCCCCAGTGCTGAGAACTTTTAAAGTCTCTGCTCAGGTTATGTTTGTTCATTTCCCATTGGCCAAAAAAGTCACACAGCCAATCCAGACTCCGGGCTTGGGGAAGTAGATATCTCTCCTGATGGGAGGGAGAATCGTGTGGCCATTGTTTGCGATCTATCACATTAGCCTTTTCAATTTCTTTTTCTCTGCATTGCTTTTGCAATCCTTTGCCCCATTCTCCTTTATTTTCTTATTAATACTAAAGGAGCTCTTTATTTACTGATATTAACCACTTGCTTGGCATGTATAGTTGACCCTTGAACAGCATGAGTTTGAACTACATAGGTTGACTTTTCATAGAGGTGGGCTCTGCAGGGCCAGCTGTGATTTTAAGTGTGCCTGGATTTTGGTATAGGTGGGGGTAGATTCAATCCCCAAGTATAGCAAGGGACAGTACATTGCAAATATTTTCTCTAATCTTTCATTTATCTTTTTGCTTTATGGTATTTTTCACTATATTAAAGATGATCTGGCTTAAGAAATTCTTCCTAGTTCCATGGTGAGGTAATGCTTATGTTTCTGGTATTTTTTTCCCTCCCAGTATAGATATTTTATTATTTCCATTTAGAGCTTTAATCTGTTTGGCATATAGTTTTAAAAAATATGGCATATATTTTATATATCTTTGATTTATTCCAGCATTCTTTATTAAATTTCCTTATTAAATAATCATTTTCCCTCACAGAACTCAAATGTTATTTCTGTAAAGTTCCCATATATAATTTTTTGGTAGGGGGCTATTTGGCAATATCCTTTGACATAACAATTTTTCCTCTAGGAATTTATCTGCCAGAAATAGTTTATCAAGTGAGCAAGAGATATGCACAAGAATGTTCATTGAAGCATTAAATATTGAAAAATTGGAAGCAACTCTATTTTTGAAACAAATGATTAGATATCAAAATGGAATAATAGAATAGTTTTCAACTATTGCAAAGAATTTATTAGCCCAATAACTCAAAGGCATATTTTTCAGTGGTGATAAGAATATTGTAGAAAGTATGTATGATATGCTTCTACTGTCATACTATTACTAAGCTGTGTATCTTTATTTCACACAACCAAAGACATGTGTAGTATTTAATAGTTTTGAATATGAACAGCTGCTCTTTTCTCTTCTTTCTATGCCTCACTTCCTCTCCTCTCCCAGTATTCAGGCAACACATAGGACCACAGGACAAAAGTTAATTTCAGCTTTGGAATTTCAAAATAGACTTTTGTAATCTATAATAGAGACATTGATTTGAGGAGAAGGCTTGCATAGTCTCCATTCCAAGGCAGAGATAAAGGACCCCTGGCATCAGGTTTATGTCTTAAACCTTGAACACGAACACCGAGGCTCACTGTCCGCCAGGTCCATGCAAAAGAGATAAAGATTACAGTAGCTGCAGGAAGGAGAGGAAGCTGGGTGGAGAATCTGAGTGTTCTCATTTAAGTTTTGGATGGGTATCTGTGAAGTGATCTTTAGGGTGGGGATCCCCCTAGTGTGGGGAAGGAAGGTCTGGATCACAGGCCCCAGACAGTTGGAGACATAAGAGTCAGAGACCCCTCTGAACTCTGTGAAGGTGGAGACCCCCACCAACATCCTCTGAACCAGGTATAGGCAGCATCAGAAGATTAGAAATTGGCAGGGTGGGGGTAGGAGGCAGGTCTAGACAGAGAAAGCCTGTGAGTGCCCCTCCCAGGGGAGCACAGGATAGCATCTGGAAGCTTTCCACGTGTCCCCTTGAGGGGGACTTTGAGAAACTGAGGACCCAAGTCTCTTGGACCAGAAGAAGGCTCACAGCTGAGAAAGGGGTGCCCCAGTGTGTTTGGCTTGGGTTGATCAGTACATTTGAGAAACTTGGATATCTAAGAGTCCATTAGTTGGGATAGATCCTGAAGACGGAGGGCAGGGGAAAAGTATATCTAGGTTCAAGCTAGCATGGAAAGATGACCCCTCCAGTGCCCCACTGCACACTTCAGCACCGTGTAAGCTCCCTAGGATGAAGATGCAATTCCAGGGAGAAGTAGGAGACAGGAGGCAGTTAAAGCCACAGGGAAAACTCTTATTTGTCTGGGAGCATTCTTATTTGCCTGATCTCACTTTCCATTGCTTAAAATTACGTTTCTGCCACTAAGTGGAATGGGGCTTGGGATAGAAATAAAATTCAATCACAAAAAACTAAAGATGCCCTCTTTTGCACACCTCCTGAATTTGTGACCTGTGAAATTCATGCCTTGTGCATATATATTTAGATAGGCACAGAAAAACATCTGGAAGAATTCATAACAAGCTGTTCCCAGTGGTAACAAAGTTTAATTTCCTACACTGAACATGGATCACTTTTGCAATAAAAATGCAAATCTAGAAAAATATTTCAAAGTATGTCATGTTCATTGTAGGCAATTTGGAAAATATAAAAAGTACATTTAAAAATTAAATCATCTGAATTCCCACCATGTAGATATAACCATCGTTAATAGTTTTATTTATTTTCTTTCATCTGTCTATGCATATATGTTCACAGCATATAGATATGCATATATTCAACATGTATATATTCTTTTTACAGAACTAGAGTTATGTGGTTTTTGTGTGTCATCCTATATTTTTTTCTTTTAATGCTGTTAATGAGCATTTTCCCATGCTATTAAACATTCTTCAAAAATGCACTTTAAAAGGTTCAGGCTCTGTGAGGTATAGACTATAATTTCTAAATACAGATGAGAAAACGAGGGTCAGAAAGGTTAAATAACTTACCCAAGGACACCCAGCTGGCATATAGTGCAGCCAGGATTTGAACCTATATCTTCCTGATTATGAAGACCAACCCTCCTAAGGTGGGAAGAATAAATGAATACACATCACACATCACAGATTGATGAAAAGCACCTGATATATGTGGGTCCTTAATACATACAATTCTTCTCCAGTCTCCCCATCCTGTGATCTGGCCTTCCCCAAGCAGAATGGTTCTTATATTGGTAGTCAGTCTTGGTTTATAGCAACCCTTCTGAGGAAGCTCTTGGAGCTTGAGCGGCTGCTTTGGCACCCTGAGCCCCTGCCTCGGTCTCTTCTCCTCTCCAAGGTTCTGGCTGATGCTTTCTTCAGCCAGGGTCTGGCTCTGCCTCTTTGTGTTTCCCATGCCACTGAACCCAGTTGTCCCCATGGGTCAACAGTGCTTTTGTCCAGGCCATCCAGAAGTTTAACAGAACCTCCACAGAAGACAAGATTTAAACATTGCAGGCAGTCAAAGTTCTCCCTGCACCCTTTAAATTTAAAGCAATCCATTGGATGAGTTATTATGGAAGCAGTAACTGGGTTTTGGTTGGGAGAAGCCTAGGGTCTATAAAATTCAGATAAATCATTCCATAGATATATTTCCAGAGCTGTAAGTCACCCAGACATCGATAGAAACGGATGTTTCTCCAATTTCTTTTTCAGAAGCCACATCAGTGTGTGCACCCTGGAATCTGCATTTATTATTCATCCCAATAGCTTTGGAGAGGGTTGCCAGCAGCTCTGGGGGTCTGCATATGATATCACTACTCTCAGCTCAGCTTCCTAAGAGCAGAGCTGAAGCTAAGTGAGATGGGCCCTCCTTTGAAGATTCACTACACATGGGTTAGAAACTCAGCTGCCTCTGTGGGCCAGACAGAGAAGGTAAATAAGAGCAGAGTGTTGGAAAAAACAAGAGAGTCTTGGGGACTGAACCAACTGGAGAGGCATGTCCCATCAAAAGGCATTCACATTCAGTTAAGAAACTACTATGATAATTCCTCTGACAGTTTGCTACTACATCTAAGAGTTGTGGCAGGCAGAACAATGCCCCCTGCCCACAGCTGTCTCTCTCTCTCTCTTTTTTTTTTTTTTTTTTTTTTGAGAGGGAGTCTCACTGTGTCGCCCAGGCTGCAGTGCAGTGGTGCAATCTCTGCTCACTGCAACCTCCGCCTCCCAGGTTCAAGCGATTCTCCTGCTTCAGCCTCCCAAGTAGCCAGGATTACAGGTGTGCACCACCATGCCCAGCTAATTTTTTGTATTTTTAGTAGAGATGGGATTTCACCATGTTGGCCAGGCTGGTCTCGAACTCCTGACCTCAGGTGATTCTCCCACTTTGGCCTCCCAAAGTGCTGGGATTATAGGCATGAACCACCACACTCAGCCTGTCTCTGTCTTAACTCTTGGAACCAATGAATATGTTATGTTACAGGACGAAAGAAAATTAAGGTTGCAGATGGAATTACTGTTGCTAATCAGCTGACCTTAAACAGGGAACTTATTTGGGTTATCCAGGTGGGCGCAATGGAATCACAAGTGACTGTGAAAGTGGGAGAGGGAGACAAAGAGTCAGAGGAAGACATGACTCCCCAAGAAAGGCCCAGAAAGACGTGTTGCTGCTGATTGTGAAGATGGAGGAAGGGGCCAAGGAATGAGAGTGGCTTCTAGAAGTTGGAAAGGGCAAAGAAGCACACTCTATCCTAGGGCCTCTAGACAGGAACGCAGCCCTGTCAACACCTTGATTTTAGCTTAGTGAGACATCTACTCTACCAAACTTTGTAGGTTTTTGCTAAATCACTAAACTTTGTGTGCTTAGTCACTAAACTTGTGGTAATTTATGGCAGCATCAATAAAGAGCTAATACAGGTTGTATCCTGTCTATAAGCTAATAAGAAAGCAATCTCTGTTGGATCATGGGGCCCAGTAAGACCTACTTGGGTAGGGAGAGGTGGGGAAGCATAGACTTGACCTTGACCTCCTTGTTGAACTCAGGTTGGAGGAATCAGGGGTCCCCCGGAGGCAGTCCAGGTAGGCTGGCAGAGAGGCTGTCCTACAGACCAGGCACCAGGCGGCCTGGGACTGAGCAATGACCCACCTGCTGAGGGTTGGCCTCCAGGGACAACCATTTGACAAGGCTTGGTTTTCCAGGAGGCTACAAGTGTCAGCATCCGTTTACAAACTAATCAAACTTTGGCAGGTTTGAACAACTATGCTCAAATTTACTTGATTAATTTATTTTGAAGAAATTAACTTTAAAAAGGGATTTTACTTAATATACTTTCATGTGACTTTTTTCGGTTGAATATGAGAGATTGTTGTTGCTGGTATTATCAAGTTGTAATTTTTTAAAGCTTTCCAAATCACAGGTTAAATGACTACCTGCGATTACCCAGCTAGAGGCTGGCCAAATTAGCTTCTGGCCTGTTTCTAATCTATTGTTACTGGTGATGACCCATAGAGGACTGGGTTTTTAATTGGCCCCCAGAATACTGTTGATTAGAACTGGAGAGCCTTTTGTATATTTTCAGCATGTTTACTCACTATCCCTGAGGTCAAATCCTGGCTCGTTTGTATCGTGGCATTTTATGATGTCTCTGAGGCTCACTTTTCTCATTTGTAGAATAGGAACCATGAGAGAAACTACCCCATAGCGTTGTTGTGAGAGTTACGGGAGACAAGCCATGTAAAACTCTGAGCACACTGCCCAGCATATAGTAAGTGCTCAAATAAAAATATTGATTTATCTCATTGTTATTCTAATTTTGAAATATATAAGATGAAAAATTGGAGAACGTTGTATTGAAAGTCAGGGCAAGAGTAGAGGGTGGACTCTGACCCCATCCGAGCACTTAGATGCTGGTAATCCACTAGGGAGGAATGGCTGTGGCTGAACTTTTCCCTCAATATTGGGTCTTACTTATAGAAAATATGTCCAAGTATTTTTCTCCTTAATTCAGGTGGATTTTCCTGGAGAACTTGCCCTAGAGAGTTGGATTCTCCCATCCAGATTCCCCCTGGCAAGATCTTTGGGATCATAATTGGAAAGGAGGCATTCATACCTCTGGAAGAAACTCTGTTGGTTGATGGCTTTGTAGAATATATTAAGCTCAAAGGCTTGTCAAATTGAGACCAGATAGCTAATAAATCTGGGATGGAGAGTCTAGATGTTGATAGATCACATTGGCCTTATCTGAATGATGAATAAGTATGGGAAGAAGAAACTTCTTGATGTGAATATCTTTCTGATATTTAGTGTCAACTTTGTGTTGAACATTAAGCTAGCCCTGGTTTTCTCAACCTCGGCAGTGTTGGAATTCTGGGCTGGGCACTTCTTTGTGGTGGGGGCAGAACTGTGCATTGTACGATGTTTAGCAGCCTTCCTGACCTCTACCCATTTGATACCCTTGACCCCCTCACCTCAAGTTTTGACAACCCCAAATGTCCCCAGACATTGCCAAATGTTCCAGTGGGAGGAGGGCAGTGGAGGTAAAATTGCCCCTGGCTAAAAGCTATGGGGTTAGGCATTGGGGTTACAAAAATGAATCAAACTCAGCTCCTATCATCTAGAATCTTACAGTTTAAGAGGGGAGACCCTCAAGAGCAATGGGCTATGATAATATAGTCAGGTCAACCACAAGGTGAACTCTGAGCAGAACATAAGACTGAGATGAGACAGGGTAGGGCAGGTGATACCTTCAACACAGCTACTCGGCTGGATACAGAGAGAAATGGTCCTTTTCTGATGAACACAGGTGGGTATTTTGAATAACAGTTTTAGTTTTCTGATGCCCACCGGGGCCAGTCAGAAGGTGCTACCTTTTTCCCCTGCTGAAAATGGGCCCAGGCTGCTCTACATTTTGACCTCCTGCATCTGTGTTTCACGTTAGACTGGGAAGTTTTCACATCTTGTTGCACAGGCCATCTTTATCTTTAGCATCTTTGCTCTTCTTTAGAAGTACTAATGCTTGTCCAGGCCACACCCCAGACTAATTAAGCCAGAATTGTTGGGATGAGGCCTGGACACTGGGATTTTCTGAAGCTGCTCAGGTGAATCAGATGTGCAGGGTTGAAAACCACTGGTCTCATGTAAAGGAAAACAGCCTGGGTGAGGATTTGAGTGGAACAAACCAGGATATTGGCTGGTGGTGCCTCCAGAAGCTGCTCTCCAGGTCGGTCTGGGCTTGGTTCACATCAGTAAAATTGGGTAATGGCCACATCTAGGAAACAAAAGCATTATTTTAATTTATAAAATCAAATTCTATTGAGTTGAAAAACAAATGTGAATTAAAATTAACTTAATAACTGCTCTTTTAACTTAGTGCAAGAAGAGATTGTATTAATGGCATTCTAAAACTCACCGTCTCTTAGCCAAATACTTTTTAATTGAACATCAAAATAACTCAATAAAAATATTAAATGTCCACTTTTTCTGTCAAAATAGAGGCAAGTAAACAAGGGCAAAGGGATCCTTATGCCAAAAAACATAGGCTAAAGGAAGCTCTTAACATTGCCCTCTGCTCTGAGCTTCCCAGTAGGCAAGGCAACAAACAGAACTGGATAGAATGCATGACCCTCAATGCTTACTATAAGGAAGAATGCCAGTCCATTGGGAGTGAGGCTTCTATTTTTTCTCTTTTTCTTTTTTTTTTTTAGTTTGGTGCTTTTTTAGAAGGCATTTATCACATGAGTTTCTAGATAAGGGACATAGAACAACATAATGGATAGTGTCTTTGCTTGCAGTTTTACAAACAATGCAAATGCGATTCATGTGGCTGCCTCTTATATCAGCTCTGGCTGGAAGCCAAAGGCATAAACAGTGTGATATTCTAGTTTGGTGTGAATTTTTCCATGGAGAGCTGAAATGATATCATCCAGGCTTAGAGCTTCCCAGGGATTTGACTTGGCAGAGCTTAAAAGCCTTAGAAGAATTAAAATTTGGTGTTTCTTAGGCTGTCTTTCTAGCTAACTTCCATCTAATTTTTAAGATGTAGTTCAGCATCATCTGTTCCAAGAAACCTTCCCTGACTCCCTGAAGTTGAGTTAGGTATCCTAATATGTGGTCCCATAATATCCTGTGCACCCCACCCCTCCATAGAACCCCTACACCATTATACCTGTGTATGTGTCTGTGTTGCAGATGATGGACCCTGAAAGGTAGGCATGATATCAGTTATGTTTGTATTCCCAGCTCATACACTGGCTCTGGCACATAGTAGGTCCTCATAAATATTTATTAGGCATGCCAAAACTAGAGTAGTTCTTGGTATAAGGCAAGGTAGTGTGCAGAGAGTTTAGAGTCTTGGTTTTGGCACCAGATTGCCAGGTTGAAATTTAGGCCTTTACCACTATCTAGCTCTGTTACCTTGGACAAGTGAAAGAATTGCTCTGTGCCTCTGTTTACTCATCCGAAATACAGAGCTAACAACAGCACCTACCTCACAGAGTTGCTGAGGGGATTAAAGGAATTGACATATGAAGCATACTTAGTACAGTGCCTGGCATATAGAAATTGCTATGCAATTGGCTATGATGATTGGTGTTTTTGATGTCCCCATGGCTCTTTTGCCAGGGTGAATGTACAGAGGGGCTGAGCTGTGGTCCTGGCTGGGCCTGGCACACAGATACTTGTTATTCACTCGAAAGCAGCTCCCATGTCCCAGCTCTGAGGCATGTGGAGGGTCAGGCTGATACTCTGCGTGTATACTGGCCCTCCAGGCTGCCTCTGTTCGGAGGTTGGGCAACCTTATCCATCCTTCTCAGAGCTCCCTGTCCAGCCACACTGGGGTGATTTTGGGAGGATATTTGTAATCTTTAGGTCAGAACTCCATCTCTGAGGCTTTCTACCTTCTTCAGGTGACCTCTCACCCTGCCTCAGTTTCCCTTGGGAGGCAATTGAGGGGTCTTTGGCCACGAGCAGACTTGGGATCCTCTTCTGGCTCAGCCTCTTATTTTCTGTATGATCTTGGGTGAATAAGGAAACATCTCCAGCATCTGCTGTCTCATCTTTAATAACTGAGACAATAGTACCCCTGATGAAGTGGCTACTGTAAGGATTCAGGGAAGTAATCTGTATAGAGCTGTTAGCCGGGACCCGTCATGGTCAGCATGTAATCAATATTAGATGCTTTTGCTCTTGACTTTGTGAAACTTACTTCTATGAAGTCTATACCTGGTCTTTTTTTCCATGACATGAACTTTCTTTAGAATTTATCTTTATGAAAATAACCAGAAAAGCTCTGGAGGCCTTAAAGTACCGAGGTGGCTTTATCCCAACCAAAGTCTACAGGACTTACTTGTGGGTGGGGATCAGTGCTTACTAACCTGCTCCTGAAGAGGCAGGAGGTCCCTACTCACCTCCTCCCTCCTGGAGCTGCCTGGCACTCAGGCCACGCCTGGCAGTGGCCCCAGCCAGCGTGACTGGCATCCTGTCTGCTTGTGGCTTCTCCTTGCCCTTTTCATACTAACTTCATTTTCTGCTCTAAAAGACATAGGTATTTTACAAAAAAAGGATTAGGAAAGAAGACAAATTAGGCACTTTTCATCATATTTGTACTGAAAGTGATGTGTAAAGTGGTTTTGTTGAGAACAACATATGATTTTTGTCCCAGAGCACTAAATGTGAATCTAGACTCTTAGAATATAGCCCAGACTCTGGCTCCAATCCACAGCTAGCCTGGAGGTGTGTCATTTTGATGAGCTATTTATCTTTGCTCTGTGTGTGTGTGTGTGTGTGTGTGTGTGTGTGTGTGTGTGTGTCCAATCTCTGCAGCTTAGGGTTCTTCCATTCCATATTTTGGGGCATACTTTGGGCACACTGGACTCAGAGTAACTTTTCTTTATACTTACGTTATTTTTGAGGGCAAGGAGATGTTTTGCTCTTTCTTGACTTCACAGGATTTCAATGACCTACTTCTTCCTTTAGGTCTACCCAAACCTCTCACTCTTTCAGCCCAGTACCTCCATGAAGCCATTCCTACTATTCCAGCTTGCTCTCACTTCTCCCGTCAGAGGTCCCTCCAGACAGCTTGCCCATCCACAGACTGCATGCACTATCTGTTCCTCCCTACATAACCCCACAGTGGAGCCCAATCTGATTGAGGAAAGAGACAGCATCAGTGGCTTCCCTTCTTGCCTGCAAATTCACCCTCACTGAGGACAGGGTACCTAGGAAACCCTCAGCCTATATTTATGTTGAAGGAGCTCAGATCTCCTGTTCTGTACATTTTTAAATCATTCATCCTTCTAGAAAGATGTGTTGATCAAAGTGAGCCAGTATGTTTGAACTATTTCTTTGAGCAGACTATTATAAATCTCCAGCCCTCATGCACATCCTGTTGATATAATGTCAATCCCGAGGTTACTGATGGTTCCGCACCTCTTCTTTCTTTGGATTGCTTGATGTATGTTCATATAAATGGGCTGTGGAATGAAGTTGTAGGATAAGCATTTGACATTCTTCCCTTCTAGAAGTGATAAATCGAGCCTGCGCCCAAAATGGACTTGTGGGCTTGATCAAGAATTCTCTATGAAGTTGTGTCTGTTTCACTGCTTGATTCCAAAGAACACACAGCCCCAAACAGCCTCCAGGGCCTGAAGATTGGAGCAGAGAATTCCTTGTTTTATCCCAAAGTCTGGCCAGAAGGTCCACCTTTCCAAAGTGTATGAAAATAAGTTATGTCTTAGTCCATTTTGTGCTGCTATCACAGAATACCTGATATTAGGTAGTATATTGAAAAACTACCTGTTGGATACTATGTTTATTACCTGGGTGATGAAATAATCTGTATACCCGTCCCTCATAACATGCAATTTACTTATATAACAAGCCTGTGTATATACCCCTGAATCTAAAATAAGTTTTTTTTTTTTTTTTTTTTTTTTTTTAAAGAACAGAGATTTATTTCTTATACTTCTGGAGGCTGGGAAGTCCAAAGTTGAGGAGTCTGCATCATTGGCAAGGGCCTTTGTGCTGTGCCATCCCATGTCAGAAAGCAGGAGGGCAAGAGAGGGTAAGAGAGAGTGAGCAGGAGAGCAAGAGGGAGTCAAACTCACCCTTTTATAAGGAAGCCACTCTTGCAATGCTGACATTAATCTATACATGAGGATGGTGCCCCATGACACAAACACCTTCTATTAGACCCCACTCTCAACTCTGTTGCATTGGGAATTAAGTTTCTAACACATGTTTTTTTGGGGATACATTCGAACCATAGCAAGTTCTATATAAGAAGTTTTGGAGTTTGGGTTCTCAGCTAGTTTTCCAGGCTTGGTGCAGAAAATCGATATTCCTTTTATTTTGTTTTGCTGCCGATTTTCCCTCTTCTGTCAGCCCCTGCACAAGCCATGCTCATCCCTGCTGTGCCCTGGTCCAGCCACCTTGCATCAGTCAGTGTTCTTAGTCATCAACAACAGAAGCCTGCTCTAGTTAGCTTAAGGAAAAGGAGAATTTATTGACTTCTGATGGACTTTGGATTTATTGACTTCTAATTGATTAGACAAGTCTGATTGGTTGCCCATGTTTATCCCTGCTCTCCCCTAAACTATTCTAAAATGATGGCAAAGGGTTAAAGTGTTGCAAATCTACAAGATCAAAGAATTCATAAGAGGAGACAACAGTGGATAGGTGCTTGGGGCCAGTTTTTGGAAAATAGAAAGTGGATGGAGGGCTGGGCACAGTGGCTCATATTAGCACTTTGAGAGGTTGAGGCAGGAGCATCCCTGAGTCCAGAAGTTCGAGACCAGCCAGGGTAACATAATGAGACTCCATCTTTACAAAAAATTAAAAAGAAAATTAACCAGGCTTTGTAGCATGTGCCTGTAGTAATAGCTACTCAGGAGACTGAGGTGGGAGGATCACTTGAGCCCAGGATGTCAAGACTGCATTGAGCCAGGATTGTGCCACTGCACTCAGCCTGGGTGATAGAGGGAGACCCTGTCTCAATTTTTAAAAAAGTGGATGGAAGAAGGGTAACTGATGTAGCAGATGCAAGGATGTTACAGTGTTAGTGCTTGGTAATAAAGATACTATTGTGGGGTGAGCCTGGTTCTGCCGGCAGGCCTCTGAGAGCCTCAGCACCCAGAAACTCCAGAAAGCCCAGGTTAGGCAGGTGGTACAAACCAGGAAAAATTAAGCAGAGATTGACATGTTCGATAGTAGAACCTTTGGCTGCTTCTTCTGACCTGCTCCCAGGATGCCAGCGGCTGGAGTGCTCTCTTCTGGCAGGATATAATAGGAGTCTTTTCTGGAGAAACTGAAGGACTCTGGAGAAAATACCTCCAAATGCTGACATTGGGGAATCTTCCATTGCAAAGGACAGGAAGTCCCCCTATCCACAAGTCACACCCATACCCTTCAATGAGCTTCTTAATGCTTCATATTAAACATGAAAGGACAATTAAGGATCATTATGCATTTGAGGAATGTCTTTTATATGAAACAGAGAGTACAACACAAAGGGATACCAAAGGGATCCAGGACAAACTAAATAATGTAAGGAAAAAGAGAAAACTTCAAAAATGCTATTATTAGTCTTAAAGAGATTAAAAAATATTGCACCCTTAAGACATGAACAGGTTGCTATGAAAAAGAACAGGGAGCACAAAGCAGCAATTGAAGAGAAACATGATGACTGAAATTTTAAAAGTTCAATTGAAGTAAAGCAAAAAGGCAAAGAGGTATATAATGAGAGAGAAAAGTTGATAAAAATGCATGGCTCAATTTAGAAAGTTTAATATTCTAGTAGAAATTCTAGAGCAAGAACAGAAAAAATAAAGAAAAGGCAAATATCAGAGAAATAAGTAACAAAATATTTCAGAGTTAAAGGACATGTGTCTCCAGATTAAAAAGTCCTCCCAACCATGTAGCTCTTACTCAAAGTAGATGAAAAGAACAACCACACCAAGGCACTGGGTAGAGGGGTAGGGCAGGGGGAGAGGGAAGGAAGGAGGAGGAAAAGGAGAAGGAGGAAAGGGGAGGAGGGAGAGTAGGTGACATGAAAAGAACAGGAATCAAAGTGGCATTAGGATGCTTAAGAGTAACACCAGGCCTGGTGGCTCATGCCTGTAGTCTCAGCACTTTGGGAGGCTAAGGCCTGCAGATCACATGAGTTTGAGACCAGCCTGGGCAACATGGCAAAACCCAGTCTCTACAAAAAATGCAAAAATTAGGCCAGCATAGTGTTATACACCTGTAATCTCAGCTGCTTGGGAGACTGAGGTGAGAGATTGCTTGATCCCGGAGGTCAAGGCTGAAGTGAGTCATGATCGCACCACTGCACTCCAGTCTGGATGACAGAGTGAGACTCTGTCTAAAAAAATAAAATAGAAAAAGTAACATCCATACTAGAAGATACTGGAGAGGTGCTATTTCTGAGGAAGAATTAATATTCACATATTCTATACTAAGTGAAGCTATCAATCAATATGATAGCAAAGTTAAAAAAATTCATACATGGAAATACTCAAAAACTTACACACTGTGAATCTTTGCTTAAGAAGTTTCTGTGGTAGGATGGGCTTCAGAAAAAAAAAATAAAGTCAAAATACCAAAACAAGATAAAAGTAAGCATAATAGCAGTTACAGAGAATCCAACCAGCAGAGCAGAAAGGAAGTCTCATGACAGCCCCTGCTCATCCAACTGGAGACCAACTGGTCCACACAAGAGAAGGGAGAGAGCTGGAATGGGCTCTCTCCAGGGCTTAAGGAAATGGAAAGCTTATTTTGTTGCATTGAGCATTTGGAAAAGTACATTATATTATAAATATAATATAATATATAACTACAAATAAATAACTATAAATATAAATAAAACAATTTTGTAGTTATAAATAACCACAAGTTATTTGTAGTTATAAATAACCGCAAGTTATTTGTAGTTATAAATAACCGCAAGTTATTTGTAGTTATAAATAACCGCAAGTTATTTGTAGTTAAAAATAACCGCAAGTTATTTGTAGTTAAAAATAACCGCAAGTTATTTGTAGTTATAAATAACCGCAAGTTATTTGTAGTTATAAATAACCGCAAGTTATTTGTAGTTATAAATAACTACAAGTCAGAGCAATTGTTAATGCAAAAAAGCAAAAGTTGTATAAGCAAGGAAATAATATAATCATAGTCTACTATTTGGCTTAGTAGTGAATAGTATCATAACCATAATGGAGTCAATACATTTGATTTAATTTACAAATTGTGATACAGGTAGATTGGAAATACTGGGAAGGGAAATGAAAGGATGAGAGGATTAAGAGACCTAAGTCCTCTCTGCAGTATCAGGAACATAATAGATAGTGCTAAAGTTGATCAACCAAGTATAGCAGTGTGAACATGATTAAATATGATTAAGAAATATGGAAGTAAATCCCAAAGAAACAGATGAAAGAGTTATAAGTGTTTGCCTCTGGGGAGCAGGACTGGGAGTGGCATTAGGACCAGGGACTGCCATTTGTCAATAGAAGGCTTTTAATTCTGCCTTTTAAAAATTAAGATTTAGTATAGAATAATAGGCTTAGAAACTATTGTCTGTAATTGTAACATTGTGCTTTGAAATTACTCAGTTTATTCTCCCTTTTAAAACATTTGATTGTACCCTTATACGGCACAAGGCTCTTGCCAGTTTTTGATATTTAAATTTTAAAAATAAATATTATCTTCCCTATTGTTTGTATAAAGTTTTAGAATGGAGTTAATAAGAAATAAAAGTAATTTATTCAAATGACACTGGTCAACTCACAGAGGTGGGCTGAATGCTGGAGAACTAGGCCCAGAAAGCCATGGGAGGCTGGATGGAACAGATGTTGCTGAGGTTACCCTGGGTCAGTCTGGATAAGACACCTTCGGTGGACCCCAACACTGCTGTTCTCGTGGGGAGTGAGTTAAACCTTTGAGTCACTATCTCAAGATTCAAGGGGATCTGCTGTGCTAAGCCTAGGTCCTGTGCTGGCCTTGCACACAATGGGCATCTCCACACACCAAAGACTCTCTGATATGGGGTAGACAAAATCCTACAACTGTTTCTCACACACCCCAATGTGGGACACCCTTTCCTTTTCTCCCAAACCACTGGATTCCTCAAACTATTGGGAACCTGCCCCCATAGCATTTTCGAACATATTGAGACCCAAGCATCAGTCTTGTCTATCTATCTCCCAGACTTTGCAGATGAAAAAACAGTGAAATCCAAGGAGTTTAAAAGCAAAAGAGGAAAAGCAAGAACTAGGTTTGGAGTCCTCTTCACATATATTTCCCTGGTTGATCAAACAGGGTACTAGTCTGCTAAAGTTTACCTTTGCTCACGATCTAAGGTGAAGAGGGTAATGTTGGAAGACAAGAAGAGGTTCCAAAATATTCTGAATGGTTTGTGTAGAGCAGTGAACTGATTCCAGTAACATGACATTTACAAGGATAAAGATGAAGGCTTCCAGTGAGGCCTGGGAACCCCCTGAACCAGTACAGGGAATGTAGGTGTATGTTTGTGTGTATAACTCATTATTTTAAAAATACATCCCTGGGGCTTGAAAGTGGGGCAGCTGGATGTGAGCTGTGCTGTCCCCAGGAATGTGAGGGCTCCGCAATAGTGAATCAGTCGTGGTGCAAGGGGGAAAGGGAGCTTCCTGTCGTGCCACTTTTGGCCCAGCTCCCAGCCTTCACAGGTCACCAGTTCTGCAGCTGGAGTGACTTGGTGTCTGCAGGCCAAGCCTGCCAGTGCCGATTCCCACACTGGAGGACGGGGACTGTGCAGGCTGCCTTGCTGCTGCATAATCTGCCTTATCCTTGCAGACCTTTCCCTTTTGCCTGAGTGAAGCCCTTGCCCTATCCCTGTCCGCTCCTGTGATTACTCATCTCTCCCAAACTTTATGTATTTATGTAAGTGTTTTAGAGATGCAATCTTGCTATATTGCCCAGGCTGGTCTCAAGCTCCCAGCCCTAAACGATCCTCCGCCTCTTTCTCCAGAGCAGCTGGATCACAGGTGTGAGCCACCACACCTGGTCTCTCCCAAACTGTTAAGATTGTCCTCTCCAACTTCCTGCTGCCTGAGGGAGTTTAGTGGGATGAATCATCATCTTCCTCATTGAGCCTATCCAGCATCTGTCTTTATGCAGCTGCATCTGGAAGTCACATCAGGTTCCTTTTTCTCCTTGTACCTTACTCAGTTTTCAACCTATGACTCCATCCCATCAATGTTTTCTTTCTAAACGCTTTAAGCTCCATCCTTTTCTTCCTGGGCCAATGCCCCATACCCTGCTGTCGTCCTCATTGCCTCTTTTCTGGACTATTGTAACTACTTTTCAGCAAATTTTTAAAATGCTCTCGCTTGTGAAATTCACCTCCACATGGCCAGGCTGGCCTATCTGGAATCCAGATCTGACCATACTCTTCCATCCTAACTTCCTTCCATGGATGCCCAAGTCTGCATCTCCATTTACCTGATTCTGTTCCTGTTGTAACCTCAGTGTCCTGTGAAATATTGATGTGTTTCTCGAACAAAGAAAGTGAATATTCTGGGGAGATTCGTTTGAAAAATAAACACCGGGTATAGCCAATTTTGACAAGTTTCTGGGAAAAGAGGACTTGTTTGTTTAGTATGCTTTGTCATTCTCAAGCTGGAGATATAAGTGCAGTATATCTCCAACTTTCCCACAGATTTTTTTTTTTTTTTACAAGAAACTTTACATCTTCTAAGACCCTCACATCCTGTGGAACACAATCTGGAAACTCGCAGCTTATGGGGTAAAAGCCAGGCTCTGCTGCCTGGCAGAAGACCCTGTTGACTGGGACCTGGTAGTGTTTCAGGTAATAACTCATGCCTCATGCCACTGATCCTCCCACCTCGGGTATTAAGCCATGGGGTGACCAACAGTGGAGATGCATCATGTGCACATTTAACTCACAGTCCATTGGTTCTCAGGCCAGATGATGCCACATCTGCCTCAACAGGCAGTCGGCATAGTGAAGCCTGACATAGTTTGTGTGCCAGGACCTGCTGGGGAGAGTGCATGCATGGTCTAGAGGGCTTCTCACGTGGTCAGCTTGCCCACACACTTCCTGTCCTAACTTGCAAGGCAGGAAGAGTTTCCAAAGTGGTCTGAGCATTTGAATTAGAGCAGTGGCCTGAGAGACCAGGGCTAGGTAAGTGGGTGATGATTTAGTTAATACACTCAGGGAAGAAAATGAAGCTAATTGAGGGCTGTAGAGAAATAGTGATTGATAAAGGTTAGGGGAACAGATACAGGGTTCTTTACACAAATGATGTTTTCTGTACCATTTCATATCCATGAATTAAGAAATCTTTATGGCTAATTTTGTCTAATTGATTTTTGCCTCATCTGGTAACTTTAGATTCAAATCCTCACTCACACGATGTGAGGATGTGGCTCCACCACAGTCCCTACAAATCGAATGCCCTTTCACACCTCCAGGCTTCTGCACACTGTCTCCTTAGAAGCCCTGTATCACAGTTTTCTCTCTAAGCCATGTCATTCTGTGGGTGGGGCCTTTTCAGGTGCTTTGTGCTGGCAATGGGGTGGGCGTTGGGCAGGTGGGCCACACCCCTGAGGACTAAGAGCAGGCATCTTTGGTTTCTGATTCTGTTTCTACCTTCTATAAGGGCCAAATGCAATTTCCTGGCTTACTGTGAGGTCCCCAAGAGCTTTGGGGAAAAACTAAGCTCTTGGCCATTCCCAGGTCTGGGACCCAACTGCTTGGGGGCTTTGTGCTTGGAGAGGGGCTGTCTTAAAGTGAAGCAAAATTTACATTGTGGATGCTAAAAATAGTTTCCTTCTCCCCACACTTTTATTGCTGAATTTGCAATATCCTCTCTTCCTTACTCCCTAAGACCTCAGAGCCCCCCGTGGTCTCTCAGTCACTTTCTGTGGAGCCAGAGTCCCAAATTGAGTGCCCAGGTGGCCGAGGTAAGAGGTAAACAATCGTTTATGCCCCAGCTGTCGCACCATCCACCTCTTCTCCCCCAGTGTACTGGCCACCTCCCCTAGTTTTCCCGTGTCACAAATCCAGAGACTTGTTTCCTGACAGTTTCTGGGCCAGGAGTTCCTCCCTAGCACCATGAGGTAGAAGAAGCTTATATCTCCAGAACTAAAAAGCAGATATTTTTCTTTCTATTCCATTCTCCAAAAAGTCAGGCTCGTAAAAAAGAATACAAATTATACTCAGCAGCTCTTATCAGCTTGGTAAAGAATTGCTACTTTCAACTTTATTGCCTTAAGAAGAATTCACATGTTTCCATCTTTTAAAAATGATTTGGGTTGAGGGAAGGAATTTGATTCATGTGCAGAAGTGGCTTGCATGAGCATGATTTGAAGGGGTCACAGCATTAACCTTGAGCGCTAATGCTTTAATTGAGCAGCTGGGAAGGTGTAGCTATTCTCCCAGCGGATGTACCCGCTCTGGGTCAGGAGCTCTGAGACTGACAGCTGCACTGGGAGGGAGGGACTCTCCTGTCCAAAATGGCTCCACACCCTCCTTCAGCAGTATCTGGTGCTGTGGTCCCTGGAGTTGGTCTTTGGATGCAGGCAGCAGCTTCTCAAGCTCCAGTATGAGGGAGGAGAAAACATTTCTAATCAGTTTTGGACTTTGCTTGTATTTGAAAATCACCTGAAGCTGGAGCTGAACAGCAGAGTGTATGAGAAATGGCTCAACACAGCCACCTGCCACCCCAGGGCCGTGTCCCCTGCCCTCAGGGACCGAGTCATGAGATTGTTCACAGTGCACACTGCAGAGGCTGGTGGCTGCCCCCGCCAAACCAGGGTGGGCATAAATAATCTCAGAAGTGATTTGTTCCACTGTACATCCAGGTCCTCTAAAGAAGTTGTGTGACAGCATCCATGTGGCCAAGGGCCTGAATGTCTTGCTCCTCTGTGAGACAAGATCGGATAGAAAAGCTGGGCTCCGTTGCCTCCCATCAGGACTTAGCCTGAATGCCTGTAAGAACAAGAACATGGGGGGCCTTATTTGGTTTCTGTGCCCTCCAGGTGGCAGGGAAATTATGGACCATTGATTAAAATCCAAGTATCCATTGGCCAATACTCATTGGCGCCTCCTGGCTTCACTTCTCCAAGTTGATCTTATTAAACAGATCGTGCCTGTGAGCAGGCTCCATTTCATTTTTCTGCTGATATTAACGTTTCCTTATAAATTGTCCACATGTAGCATATTCTCACTTTTTATTATAGTAAATTGCACTCCCTGCACAGCCCTGGAAGCTGCCTCTATTTCATCTGAAGGATCCACAAATGATCTGTAATGAATCTTCATTCCCCCGGGGCTGTGAGCGGGCGCTTCTGCCATCCACATGAACAGGGAAGGCAGTTCAGACTGGCTGTCGAGCTCAGACTTGGTCAACAAGAAGGACTGAGGCCAGGGAGGTCTAATGATTTACTAGAAATTGTTCACATCTATCAGAATTTTACATGAATTTAGTCAATTATTCTTTCTTTCTTTCTTGTTTTTCCATAGCAACATAATAGTTTTTCAGAGATCTGAGCCAATGTCAAAAAAGTCTAATGCTGAACACTCTCTCTTCCAGTGAACTCTCTTTCAGTAATATCTTTTTAAATGTCATTGACCAAACTAGTCCAGAACTTACTATGTTGTTAGGCATGATATATGGGAACTAGCATCAGGAGGTTCAACGCTCAGTACAAATGAAGAAACAATTGTATCCTGGAGGAAAAGCTCTAGAATTTGATCATGTTTCCATCACCTCCTAAAGGTCAGGGCATCTTGCATTCCTCCACTTTAAGTTCACTTTGTTTCTTTCTCAGATCCTCTCAGATGTGTAGAAAGGGGGTGTTAATTGCAAATACAGGCAGCACTAACTTTGCATGGCACAATGTTAACCAAAAATCAAGTGTATAATGAAGTTCGTGCAAAGTGAGGACACTAGTTCCATATGCATGGGTTTTGTTTACCAGAGTACCATGCACCATGCAAAGCAAAGGCCACCTGTACATTCATATTCTTTTTAACTGTAGTAAGGTTTCTGTTTATGCTCCTGGCCTTCCTTCTACTCAGCTCTGGAAATGTGAATCACCCATTCATTCATTCTGTAGGCACATTTTGAAGTTCACTGTCTGCCAGGTGCTGTGTCCCACAAGTGGCTTCGTGGTAATTAGACCAGGCTTTGGCCTCCAGGAGCTCACTTCCTAGTGAGGGACTAGAGGCTACTCCCCATATGCAAAAAAATCCTTTGACAACCAGAGGTGCATGTGATCCAGGAATTTTGAAAGGGGGTGACAGGAAACTCTGGAAACCAGGATCAGATTTTGCAGAAGGCCCTGTAGCTCTCCAGGCCCCCACTATCCAGTCACCACTATCACTGTCGCCTGAATCACCTTCTGGCTTAGCTGTTGTTTTTGCACCAAACACCTATGAAACATGCAGAGATTGAGTTTCGTCTTTTCTTGGTGCCCAAGTCAGTGGAACACGGTAGAAACCATATGGGTTTTGCATTGGAAAGGCCTGGTTACACTGACTTTCTGGGAGACTTTGGGAAAATCACTTCATCCTTCTGAGTCTTGGTTTTTCCATTTGTAGGCTGCAGCTCAGTAGCCTCTTTCAGTAGGCCATTGTGAGGACTCAGGGAGGGATCGTGTGTAGAGGGCTTAGCTCAGGGTCTGGGCTGGATGAGGTGTTCTGTAAATGCCAGCGATTGCCCCCAGCCTGCAACCAGCCTTCCCCTCCAGCCTTTCCCAGCCAGTGCCTTCCCTGAACTCCTAAGAGGCAGGTTCAGCTTTCTTCCAGGAAAACAGCCCTCTCAGCCTCCCCCAGAGCTGTGGTTTAGTGCTTCACAGGGTAAATTCTGATACAGCTTTCTCAGATGGCTTTCCTAGAGCTGGGAGTGATTGCCTTGTCTCCACCATCCTTCAGTGACCTGAGCCCATGCACTCCCCCATGTTCAACTGCTTTTCCCTCTGCCCAGATGGGGTGTTTCCTGTTCCTGCCAAGGGTGGGGGCCTTGGACTTCAAGGATCCTCGAGCAAAGAGATGGGTGAGATGGGAACAGATGACCATCAAGGAGGGGCTGGCTCCTGGGAAAGGCTTGGGACAAAATACTGGAAAAGAGACCTTCTGGGATCCAAGATTCCCCAGTGGGATCTAAGAATAAGGATGGAGCCAGAATTAGGAGTCTTGGGAGATGAAGAGAACTTCAGGGCAGTTTTCTGGTGAAACAAAGACCAAAGAGGCTCCAGAGACAAGGCTGGGGCAAGGAGAAGCAGCTGAGTCAGCATCTTGGGACGTTTTTCCAAGCAGGCAGGCCCCCAGGAGACACAGGGTGGCTGAGAAAGTTCTGTGATAACCGCTCTTTAGGGGTTTCCTCATGCTTCCCGGCATAACTTCTGAAAACTCGGGCCTCATGGTGTCTGCTTTGCTGATTTCCTTTTAAACAGGCTCTTCAAATAATCCATCCTCCTGCAGCTAGCTACACCCCTTCCTTGCAAATGGAGGGGCGTTGCGCTCCTGCATGCTTTGGAGGGGTGACATTGCACAGAGAGCATTGTTCCTAAATGACATGTTGTTGCAAAGGCAGCGGTGGGCCTTTAACGTGAGCTCAATATCTGTCCTTGGGAAAGTGCCAGGCCCTGGGCTTCACGGGGGGAATGTTCCCAAATGTTAGAGTTGGGGTTTTAAAAAGATGCTAATTGCTGACAAGCTTTCATTATCTCAGGCTCCCAGTGTTGGGGGGATGCCTAGATAAGTGGTCAACAATTAACACATACATAAATAATTGGTGGCATTTGCACTTTGTAAAATAAATCCTCAGGGATGTGTTTGGAAGGCTTCCATGTGGAGGTTTTTTCCACTCCATTTACTATTCCTTTAGGCCAAGATAAAGAGAAACAGTCTCACACTTAAGAAATGCAAGTGGAATAATGGTTTCAGGCTTATGAGAACAAGTTAACCTGGAGAAGGACAGCACCGTGACTTATAATGGTGTTTTCTCAGATATGAGAAAAAAGACCATTTTGTTCCCATTGTTACGGGGCCAGGTTCAGACCCAAAAACTTTTTCAGACAGTTATCTGGGGCTTTCAGAGAGCAGCATGACCAAAGGAAAGAACACAGGCTTTGGAGACAGTTGGGCCGTAGTTCAAATCTAACCTCTGCTGAATACTGGCTAAGGGACCTTCTGCAAGATACGAGTCTAGATTGAGGTATCAGTTCCCCATCTGTGAAGCAGGGATAAGAACACTGCATGGCTTGTTAAGTTGTTGGGAGTAAATGAGGTGTGTGGGTTGTAAAGCAGAGGAGATGTTGTATTGAAGTATCTTGGGGGGTGGTTAATAAAAGCAAGCTCTCGTCGCCCTTGGAAATGGCTCCAACTTAGTCTTGAGTGAAAAGCCAAGGACACAGAGGAAGGGGACCCAGACTGGAGATGCCTCCTCCAATGCGCTCAGCCTCACTGTCTTCTCTACTTCCTTCCAGGCTCTTGGATATTAGAACCAATCCTCACCACCATATGGTCCAGGGGCAGCTGTCAGCTCTCCCCAGCACCAGTCTAGGAGAGCTGCCTCCACCCTTGACATTCTTGTCAGTGCTCAGGGACTCCTTTCTGTGCAGAGTCTGTTTGGAAGCTGGGAGCCAGTACGTGGCCCACATCTATTTCCCTATGAAAATCGTGAGATCAGGGTGGCCAGGGCAGGACCCAAATGTCCTCTGGCCCTCAGTGGGCCTGCAGAATGGCCTGTTGGTGTCCTGTGTCACTTACAACTCAGCTCTTGGGTGTCACTGGGAAAAGGCACCTGAGGTTCAGATTGGGGCTGTTGCTCTCGAGCAGGGAGACACATTCCCTTCCACAGTCGGCTCCCCAGACGTGGGAAGAACAGCTGCCTTCGGCCTTCTTTAGCTGGAGTTTGCCTATAACAGCACACTTTTCTTTCCAGAGGGTGGAATGTGGGTGTCAAGATGTGGATATACACATAAGTCAACACACGTGTGGACACTCAGCTGTGCCTTTTACCCCTGGCTGACTGCACCCAGCCTCGCAGCTGTCTCATGTGCCAGTACCACCATCAGCATCTGCTGTCTCCTCCATTCAAAAGGGGCTAGAAGAGAAGTCAGCTGGATGCTTTGCAACTTCTTACATCCTTAATTCTTCTTCTGAAGTTCTGTGTTTGCCAATGTATCATGGCCACAGGAGCCAGGCAGATGGGCCCAGTGGTTTGGCTAGGTCTCGTGGGATTCACAGCAATTTAGAGGGGTGCAGGCATCTGGCCACCGCAGCAATTCCTTTGGGCTTATTGGGCCCTAGTTCCCAGCTCCCACGGGGTTTGTGTCCCTCAGCCACAGTGTCTAGCTTCAGGAGAGAAGTCTAACTGCAGACAGCAGGGAACCAGCCACCCCACCTGCTGGGAGCCCACCCTGAGCAGAAGGCCGGCCCCCCTTCCCTCCCCGCCCACAGGATACAGGGGCTGCCCTTTGCTTGTCTGACCGGGTCATCACTTCTGTGCTGATGCCCACAGCATTATGCAGCTCGATCCACACTGTGGCCAAGATGGGAGGGAAACACCACGTCCTGCTGCCTTGAAGGGGAGCACATGGAGGTGGTGGTGCCCACCACTTTGCAAAGCTGTATTGATTGTTGGTCTTTTTGCCCTGGTGTATCCATGATGGCAGAGATGAGGCTCCTGGTCCACTCCCCTACCCAGGAGAATTAGGATGGCCTGTTGGGGTTGGGTGGGCTCTGTCTGTTGAATGAAGGAAGGAAGGAATGAGGGATTATGCACGTGTACTTCAAGAGACCATCGAATCAAGAGCAGGCTGGAGACTCCAGTAGAAGGAACGGGAGGAACTTTGCGCTGACTGATCATCTTTAGTGAGAGCCTTCCTGGGCTGGAAGTGTCACCTGTAATTTCATTTGACTCTCACAATAACCCTAAGTGGGAGGTGTTTGTCTCAAGTTGACTTCGCAGAAGTAGACTTGGAGATGAATTTTTGTGTGTGACAATGATTTATTAAAAATTATGGGGACTTAAAAAAAGAAAGACAGCAGGGAAGTGGGGACTTGGAACAGGAACATAAAGGAAGCCAAACAAGGTGATTTTGGCTCCATCCTGAAAAGCTGAGATCACACTCTGGAGAAGTCCCCAGTAGGGAGCAAGGCAGCTGGGATTTGTTTTCGTGGCACTCTGGGCCCCTGGTTAGGGGTGTGCATTCCAAGGCACCGTGAGTGCCAAGCAGGGTTCAGGCAGCCTGAATTGGGGGTGTTGGCTGGTGTTGGGAGTGAGCAAACATGCTGAGTCAGTGTAATAAAAAATGCTAACAGGATTCACAGGGACTGTGGGCAGAGCCCCCTGTAGCACTGTTGGTATTCAAAAGCCTTATGGGTGTGGAAACTGCAGCTCAGAGAAGTGAAAAGGCTCACCCAGGAGCACTCAGCCAGGAAGTGGCAGAACTGGGATTCCAATGTACTCTGCCTGCCTGCTGGAACTCTCTATAGTGTTCTCACTCTGCAGACGAAAGGGAGGACTTGCCTCCACCTGCTGCAGTTGTAGCTGGAGAGGAAAAGGAAAAGGGCAGCACTTAGAAGGGGAATTAATGGTGCTGGGAGGGACATTGCCCACTGGGGTGTGAGCATTTAGGGCTCTTCCCACAGAGCTGGCAGCCCTCCAGTAATTGCTGGAGTGGCGCGGGTTGATGGGGGACAGGGGGAGGCAGGCAGTGTTCCTGCTAAATCTGCTGTAGCTTCTCCTTCTCTCCATCTATCTCAGCCTCTGTGCGAGTGGCACCCTCTGGAAAAGGCTGCAGAAAAGCACTATTTATCTCCATGTGGGGAAAAGAGGCTTAACAAATTAGCTGATGCTTAATTGGTGAGGAAAAGTAGGACAGAAAAGTTGACCAGTTGTCCTGTGGGGTTTTCTGATCAATTGTCTCCACCAATATCTTCCCTGCATGGGTCTGATACTAGGTGGAAGTACTTCTTAGGGTGGCCAAGGCTCCCACCTGCTCCCTGGGGTCTCCCAGCAACTGAGTCAGGTTGTCTGCACTGCTGGCTTCTTCCAGGACAAGCAGAGAACCTCTCACCTGCACAGGTATACCCAGACCTTCAGATTCACAGAACTACATATTCTGAAGCAGGGCTCTCAGCCCCTGAAGCCAAGAGGCAGGGTCAGAGCTCTGAAACAGCACAGGACCTCAGACACAGCACAATTACCAGTGAATTAGGATCCCTAGCAGTGGGGCCTGGGGACCCTCTTTTTTAAAGCTCCCTAGGAGGTTCTTAAACACAGCCGGACTGGAGAATCATTGCTGAAGAATGTCAGTGCATGATAAAGCTTTACCTCTCACAAATGGTCAACCTTCTTAGAAAACACGGCACTGTAAAGAGAGCACTGCTCACCTTCTGCTCAGGCACTTCCTGGGATGGGACGTCGCTACTCCTGAGGCACCCCATTTCATCTTGAATGACTTGGAAAGTCAGAAAGTTGTCTCCTATATTGAATTGATATCTGCCTCCCTGATTATGGGAGCCATTGGCTGTAGGTCAACACTCAGAGGATGCATAGAGCAATTCCAATCTCTCTTGCACATGACAATTTAAAGACACCTATATTGTCCCACCTGTAAGCATCCCTGATCACTTTAACTGTCCCTCTCCATGACTGGGCTATAGTGTGCATTGTCCTTCATCAAGTGGGGTGACCTGGTTAGGTCAACCCTTCAAGGGGTGGAACAAACTCCTCCCACACCCTCCTTTCCATGAGTTGAGCTAGAGCCCAGCGATGTGCTTTTACATACCTTGGGAGACGGGAAGGGGCAAGTGTTATCTGTTCCTTTTACGAAGGAACAGAGACCAGAGTGGTTAAGTGACAGCTAGGTGGAGGCAGTCCCCTTTGGTTTTTCCTCAAGAGTGTTGCTTTCAAACTTCATTTCCCCATTTGCCTTTTTGCTCCTGGAAACTGAGTGTAGGACTTTGAGTTTGGTCTTGCTAAACCACAAGTCTTTAGATTCAGTTCAGTGTTCCAGCCACTGAGATGTTATGACATCCTCCAGATTTGCATCTGTGCACATTTGATAAGAGTATTGCCAGTGTCTTCCACATGAGTGTCAAGGAAATGTTGAATTGTTGGGAATCGAGGTGAGCTAGAGCCCAGCGATGCGCTCAGAGCATTCTCAGCCCACCCTGTCTCCACTTCTCCCTCCACCTCTTCATCAGTGCTTCCAGGCTTTTGAAGACCTCCCTGAAAGTCTGCATGTTGACAGGAGAGAGGCTCTGGATGGGGTGGCTGAGACTCCACGCTGAAGTGTCCTCCTTTCTCTATCCTGACTGAAGATTCCTTTGAGCTCTGGCTCTTTAGCCCTTGCAGCTTCTCTGGAGAGAGCCCGGTTAACTGAGTTTGTAGAAAGGGGAGGAAAGTGTCTTCAGGATACAGCCTTGTAGCATACCCAGGTACATGGCTTAGCATCCCTTGCAGCCTCTTTTCTTTCCAGTGCAAGAGAGATGCACCCTGTGCATGACAGTTTGCAGGCTGCAGCACCATGCAGACCTAGGGTCATTTGTGGGGTCGTTGGCACAGGCCCCGACACCTCCATGCCTCATTTGTTGGGAGTGAGTCAGATCTCTGTGTACTGATGAGGAAAGATATTTGTGTTACACTGATAAATCAAAAACTAGAGTCTTAACTGGATATGTATTTCATGGTCTGATTTTAATGAAAACACTTGTCTGATATCTATTTGTAGCTATTTACTTGCGGAGGTAACTGTAAAATCTTCTAGAAGGTGACACCTCAAACAACATTTAGAGGGTAAATTTGGAGGGATAAAGGGGGAATTTTCACTATGTCAGCATATTTTTTTTAATGGGATGGGATTATGGGATGTTGAGCATTTTTATGTTTCTGCATTTTTTTTTTGATAAAAGGAATAATAAAATTACATTACAAACAAAAAAACAGGACTCCAATCTGATAGCTCTTGTCCAGGTTCATAGTCAGCCTGGCTCAGTGCCCAGGCTCAGCAAGCACTTGGCACCTGCTCACGGGATGTATTCATACAGGACATGCTTGGAAACCATCAGTCTCTTCCAATTCTTCCAATCTGTTGGCTTTTCAATTGAAGGAGAGGGAAAGCACTCATAAACACATACAGGAAACAAAATAATTAACTGAGTTCTGTCTGCCTTGGCCTTCCACTTCATTTGCATAATCAACAATGTTTGCTGAATACCTGCTGTGTGCTGGTTACAGCTATTGGGACACAGCTGTGACCTAGGAGATATGGCCTTTGACATAATGGCAGAGGAGATAGACAATAAGAAATATTCTAGCAGAGGAGACAGACAATAAGAAATAAGTAAACTGATAGCCATTCAAGCACAAAGATGGCAAGTGCCATAAAGAAACAGAACAAAACACTAATAGAGAGTTACGGGATGGGGCTACGGCCCAGGAGCTACAAAGAGCTTTGTTCTATGGATCCTAAAGAACTGAAGGAAACTCGGAGCCCCAGAGCTGCTGTGAGCTGCTGTCTTCCTGAATGTCACTCAGTACAGCTGGACTAGACAAGCCCCCATAAATCCCTCGTTCCAGTTTCCTGATTCTGTAGCCTGGAGTAATGATAACACTCATCCCCTAAGCGCCCCTGCAGAAAGGTGTTTGCAGGCATTCCTAGGGAAGGGGGGCTGTGCCTGTGCCTGTGCCTGTGACCCTGTGCTGCCTGCAGGAACCCAAGCGTCTAATCTTGCTCTGGGCTGGTGCAGGAGTGCGTGGAGGGAGAGCAGGAAATCAGATGTCTGTGTTCAGATGAAGCTTCTTGCAGCTAAGGCAGCCAGAGCAGGCCCCAGGGGGATGGCATGTTTTGTGAGGAAAATATTCTCCAAGAACAATGTTTATAAAACTCTGTCTCGGCAATCATCCTGTGTCTGCCAGCTTCTGTCTTGCTTCTGTTCATGTTCGTTCTTTTTCTCTCTGCAGGCCGTGGAGACCAACCTGGCTTCCAAGGACAGCCACTGGGTCTTTGTGAATGAGGTAAGGGCTCTAGAAATGTGATGAGCACGGCCTGGACTGAGCCCCTAGCCCCTTGTAAAGCTCAGTGTGATTCTTTTCAGTTCAATTCTGACTTAGGGGGCTGTTGTGAATCCTGGGGCTCCACCTAGCCCAGGCAAAAACTCAAAGAGTTGAACTTGACCTAGCAGGGTGCTCACCTGGCAGGTGGGAACGAGAGAAAGAATCCTGACCTGGGTCCATGAGGAAGTCAAAAGTCAGAGGGCAGTGGTGGCAGGGATGAGGTGTGCTAGGTGAGGTGAGGCAGCCAGTGGGAGCCAGGGGCTGGAGCAATTAGGGCAGGTCATGAATTGGGATGCAGAGGGGGTGGGGCAAAGGAATGAGTAGGAGAGGAAGGCTGAATTTCATGCAAGATGGTAAGGGTGTGCATGAGTGTGAGCAAGAGTGTGTATGCAGGGTGTGCACATGCGTGCGAGAGTGTGAATCCAGGTGTGTGTGTGTATGTCTGTGTTTATGATGTGAGTGTGTATGTGTGTTTGTGTATGAGTTGTGTGGTGTGTAGGTGTGAGTGTGTGAACATGCATGTTCGTGGATGTGTGTGTGCAGGTGTGTGTATATGTGTGTGGATGTGTTTGAGTGTGTGACAGGTATGTGCATGCATGTGCAAGTGTATGTGTGTGTATATGTGTGTCTGTGTGTGTGTGCATGTATAAATGTATGTGTGAATATGTGTGTGATTGTGCATGTACAAGTGTGTATGTGTCTTTGTGTGTGAATTGAATGTGTTGAGTGTATGTACAGGGGTGTGCATGTGCAAATTTTATGTGTGCATGTGAGTGTGTATGTATGTATGAGTGTGTGTGCATGAGTGTGTATACGTGAGTTTGTGTATGTATATGTTTGGGTGTGTATGTATGAAAGTGCATATATCTGTATATGAGTTTGTGTGAATGCTGTGTGGGTTGTATGTGCATGTGTGTTTGTGTGTGCATGCGTGTGTGTAAGTATGTTTGTGTGTGCAACCAGTACGTGTAGGGATAAGTGTACCCATGTAAAGGGAGTAAATAGAAAGTCTCTCCCATGACTGACCATCCCACCAGTTTGGCCCCAGGGAGGAATGGCAACACCAGGGATCGTGGTGGCCTGGCCTGCTTTTCATTACTTGTACCCTGTCTGGCCCTGGCCTCCTCCACGCTGCAGGCATTGCATAAGAGTGGCCTGAAATCACACACTCTAGCTTTCCCAAAGAATCCCCTCTGCCCACATATCCTTTGAGGAGCACTACCGGGGTGGCCTGTGTGACCTCAGTGCACTATATTCACTAAAAGCTGACTCAGAATGTGTTCCTGGTGCAAGCTTTCATCATGGCTATGGCCTTCAGCTGCTCCTAAATTACTGATCAATTTCTAATGGCTTCATTCTGGAAGATGCAGGTTTATTATGTAGGTAATTCATTCTTTTATGATGTCTGTTTCCTCATTAGTTCTTTGCTAATATGGCTGAAATAGTCTTGGGTGGCTTATTTTAATAATTGTGCAGGTAGTATCAGATTGTAACTACTTGCAAAGTCCACTTTTCGTAGATTTTCCTCCATGAATTCACATCTTATTAGCTCCATGTCCACAGAGGGCAGCTGGGGACGTGCAGTAACCGTCCATTTACCGTGGGGTGCAGGTGGTTGTGCTGGTAATTAGAAGGGACATGACTGCCGCCTCCTGTTTTCAGAGCCTGTGAGAGACTGCCTTGATCCTTGAGAAGTTTGGATTCTCTGGGGTTTGCTGACTTCTCTGTGGCTCTTCATAGTCCAGTTTTCTTTGTTCCAAAGAAACGATGCATTCCATGTGGCCCTGAAGTCAAATGTCTGATGCTGGTTTTACTTTTTTGATGAATCCTCCAAACTGGATAGCCAGTGTTTCTCTGTTGCCAGTCTTCAAAAGAATTACTCCGTTTTTACATTCCTAACCTGTTTTCTTTTCTTTCTCCAAATCCCCACCCACCCTCAGGGGCCCCCTGTCTGTCCCTCTTGACTCACTCTTCAGGGCTGGCGTTAACTTCAGACTAACCAGTGTGCGGTGCCCCTAGGGCATTCCATACTGGTAGGCACATTGGCATTACTGGGGCAGCTGGAACCCAGGGTTTAGTGTCATCAGGAGGAGTCAGATATGGGGTATACCTGTTGGAGCCACACTGGAGCGGCTTCTACTGAGAGGATTGTGGTGTCTCACCATGGCCAGCAGTGTACCCTGTGCCAGCCCGGCAGTGCACATGGATGGTGTGAATATCTCTGAGCTGAGTGTGTCCTCCTCCAAATGTGAGGGGCCTCCAGGGAGCCTCATCTTCCTCCTTTCTTGGCTTCCTTTTCTATGAGGCAAGGGACAACATCTAATATTTCTTTTTTTATCTTTATTTTTTATTTTTTGAGACTGGAGTCTTGTTCTGTCACCCAGGCTGAAGTGCAGTGGTGTGATCTCAGCTCACTGCAACCTCTGCCTCCCGGGCCTCAAGCAATTCTCCTGCCTCAGCCTCCTGAGTAGCTGGGACTACAGGCGTGTGCCAGCTCACCCAGCTAATCTTTGTATTTTTAGTAGGGCGGGGTTTTATCATGTTGGCCAGGCTGGCCTCGAACTCCCGACCTCAAGTGATCTGCCCTCCTCAGCCTCCCAAAGTGCTGGGGATACAGGCGTGAGCCACCATGCCCAGCCAGCTAATATTTCTTAATCACCTACTATGTGCCAGGCACTTGTCAGTGCATTTGTTACCTTCTTAGTCCTCATCAACAGCCCTGTGTGGCGGTTGTCATTATCCTCATTTTGCAGATGGGAAAACAGAGTCTCCAGAGGTTAAATCACTTGTTCAAGGTCATGCAGCTATTAATGGTGTATCTGGGATCCTATTTGAGGACTGTCTGGCTCCAAATTTTTCCATCAAACAGTAGTTTCATGCACATGGCCTTGGCAAAGATCTATAACTCACAGTCAGTATCTGATTCAGTGAAGTCAGTCAGTGGGGGTCAGGTATGCACACTGATGGGGAATACTCTTGGGCTGGCCTTTGGTGCCAGCTCAGGGACTTTTTTGAAGTCTTCTATCAGAAGGTAGGGCCTGTTGGAAAGCTTTCACCCAGGCACCCCAGGGTAGCCTCTGGTTAAGGACCGTGGTGTTTTCCAAATTACAAGTAGGCTTATCCTTAGGATCCAGCTATACTCAGGACTACTGTTTCCGGTTTTAGCATGGCCCCAATTGAACACAAAAGTCCTGTTATTCTTATTATAATGTGATATCATTTTAGGCTTTGCTCAGTTTTTAAGCTATCCAAGTATAGAGCCACAGACAAATGGTTTCTCAGCCACCTTCCTGTTTGTCTTATATAATCACTAGAGATAAAATAAGGGGGAAAATAAAGAAAAAGAGAAAGTCAGGGGCAGGCATTTACTGGCTCACTTTCCAACATGCTCCAGAATTCAGCTGCTTCACTGGGTCCTTGTCTTCCCACCTCTTGAAACTGCTCCCCACTTCTCTGGAGGAAGTTCAGTTCCTCAAACAAGCTCAGGTCTGTGCCTCCCCGACCACCGCAGGTGTCTCTGGGGCCTCCAGCATGGCCCTCCAGCTGTGCCCCCAGCTCCCTCTCATTCCTTACAGGCTCTGCCTTTCAGTTTCCTCCTCTGTATTTGATTTGTTTTATGCATTTTCCTGGATTCAGAATAAACACTTGAGGGCACACGTTTTTATTTGCTTTCTTTACATCTACCCTCTTTTCTTTCTGGTGAGTATTGGTGCTACGTATTACAGACCTGGTTTATTTGGAGACGAAATAATTGCACGCAGAGGAAGCTTTGTGAGTGTGAGTCCTACCAACAGTTCCTATAGGCCTCTGGGCACTACTGTGGGGACACTGGAGAGCGGATGTGTTTTTATATCTGCTAGAAGTATTTAAAGAATATTTTTATTGACTGATTAGGTTGCAGATTACCTTAGAGAGGGTAGGGGATTCAAAAGAACTTGTGGAAAACAAAATGAACCATTAGTCAAGGTGGCCACTGAACTGTGAGTCCCTTGAGGGCATGGCCAGATTCAGCTCATCACTGAATCCTCAATGCCCTGAGCAAGGAATAGATTCTTCAAAGGTTTGTTTGAAGGCAGGTCAATGTACATAGTGTAGAGCAAATTGCATTGACAAGCATTTCCCTGTCTGCCTCAGAGAAAAGACAAAGGCAACAATTAAGTCCTGAGTTTCAGCGATGGAAAGGACCTCTCTGGGTCATTCATTAGATGTTGCCAAGTTCAAGCCCAGTCAGCCTTGACTCTGGATGAGCTGGGTGGCTTTTGGAGCCTCTTTAGCAGCTGAGGTAAAATGTTTCCTCTCCACACATCCTCCAGCAGATGCCAGGAGAGTCAGTGATCCCTGTGGGTCTGGCCTCTTGGGAACTTTGTGCAGGGAATTCTCCTATAGAAAAATCAGTATGACTCTCCAGCCTCTTGAAGAACCAAGGTTGATGGGGACTTGAAGCACTGTGTTTGTTGCTGGGCAGCTTCCATTGTTACATGAATTCTTCCAGACATTGAACCAAAGCACACACATACTTTGTTGGAAATGGTTTAAGATGCTTAACAGATGATGTGGGTATGCACACATAACCTTTGCACCTGGGTTTTCTCAGAGAGTGAGTCTCTAAGAGGTGATCTGTGGGTCAGCAGCGGCCAGGAGGAGGTGACTTCTAAAAAGGGAGGAGGTATAGTCAGCAGGCCCTTGCCACTTCTTCCCGATTGTCAGTGTAAGTCGGTGACTCCACATCTCACGTCCATTCCAAACCTTGCCCTTGAGCTCCAGATCCAGAGATCCAGCTTGACTCAAGATCCTCTTGACTTGGCCACTTGGAAGCTCCATCACCACCTCGAACTCAGCGTACTTCTTTCCAAACTCACCATCCTCCCCAAAACTGGTTCTCTCTTGGTGCTCCTGATCTCAGAGACCACTGTCCCCATCCTTCTGGTTGGCTCCTCAGACACAGAAAAAACAAAGGCATGATAAAAGAAAAAGACTGTGATATGAATGCTGAATCACATAGCTTTAAGAAATCTGCCCACTTCATCCAGCCTGCTGCAGCCCTCTGCAGGATGACCCTGACCCCACATTTATACCCTTATTTACTTCTTACTATTGCGTTCATATCTCATGGGTCATCCCTGCAAATGGATGAGTGACTTCTTTCTTGCATTTATTTTTCCCTCCTAGCTTTGGGGTTTTGGCAGGGTTTTTCTTTCCACCTGCCATGTCCTTCTGAATCTGTGATTGTCTAGGACTTCCCTTTCTTGCAGACATCTGCTTAACATTGCCTCTGCCAAAAGGACTTCTGTATTTCCCCAGTAGGGTGATTTTTTCACAGCCTCACCCCAGTTCTGCTGTGTTGGGGAATTGATGCACATGCCTGATTCCCTGAACAAGCTGATCTCTTTTCTCTGAGGTTCCCTAAAGTTCCTAGCATGAGGGTCTGACACACAGAAGAGCTCACTGGGTTAAACAATCTGACTGTATCCTAAGAGACCCCCCATCTGCCACCCAAAGGACAAAGTCATCCCAGTGTGTGGTCTTCTTCAGCACCTTCTGCCTAGATGCTCTCCTGTTTTTGAGTCTCAGGCCCCAGCCCCCATCTTATCACTTACACTAGTTTGTCACCAACGAGTACTCAGTGAGGATCCTTAGGGATCAGTCCTTGCCCTTAGAGTGGCCTCTGTCAACAGTCCAGGGACATCACTCCAGACTTTCAAATCTTCCCTATCCTAAAGCACACACCAAGGTAAAACAAATGAAAATAAGATTATGCACCACATATATAATGTGGGAGAGGAAGATGCGAATGCTCTAATTGAAGAAAACAAAGAAAAAGACCATGATATGAATGCTGAATCACAAAGCTTCAAGAAATCTCTATTTGGGACCCAGAGAAAGAGAGGGAAGGAAAAGATTTTTTTCTTCCTTTTATTTTGAAGATTCCAATTCTGTTGGACTGTTCAGTCCCTATACCATTTACCATCTTCAAATTTAATTTAGTAACACTCGAAAACAATTACGTTTGTCATAATCTTTTTACTTGTTTCTCTCCCAGCCTCATTGAGGAATCTTTGAGGACAGGGAGCATATCTTACTGCCTCTGTAGTCCCAGCTCAGAACTCTTGAATGAAGACCAGGAGTTGCCATTTATCAGACCTTAGATGGAGCCAGACATTGTTTTTGAGTATCACCTTCATTATGTTTTTTTAATTATTATTACTGAAAAAGTAACAGCTTTGTTGAGGTTTAATTGACATGCAATACATACAATACTTAAGTGTACAAGTTGTTAAATTTGGCATATGTATATACCCAGGAAACCATAACCACAATAGAGGTAGTGAACGTATCTGTCACCCCAAAAGTGCCCTCATGGTCCTCAGGAATGCCACCCTCCTGGCCCACTCTCACCCACTCTCTAGGCAACTACTGATCTGTTTCTGGCTCTACTGATTATTTGTATCTTTGCGTTTTATGTAAGTGGAATTATGGAGTGTGTACTCTTCTGCTTTTGGTATGGCTTATTTTACTCAATGAAATTATTTTGAGATTCATCTTATGTTGCAATGTGTAGCAATAGTTCTTTCCTTTTAATTGATGAGGAATATTTATTTGTTCATGGATATACCACAATATGATTATCTGTTCCGCTGTTGATGGACATTTGGGTTGTTTTAGGTTTTTTGCTATTACAAATAAAGCTACTATGAACATTTATGTATAAGTCTTTGTATGGACATATACTTTCCTTTTTCTGGGGCTCATACCTACAAGTGGAATTGCCAACCCCTATGGTAGATTTATGTTAACTTTTCAAGAAACTGCCAAGTTGCTGAGAGTTCCAGTTGCTTCATATCCTCTTCGGTACTTGGTATGGTCGGGGTTTTTGATTATAGTCACTCTGATGGGTGTGTAATGGTCCTCACTGTGATGTTGATTTTTCATTTCCCTCATAACTGACAATACTTCCTAGCATTTTTCTTGTGCTTATTTGCCATTTAGATCTAGGTATCTTCTTGGCAAAGTATCTGTTTAAACAACTTACCCATTTATATTGGATTTTTTGTTTTCTTATTATTGAGTTCTGAAAATTCTTTTTACATTGGGATAAAAGATTTTTTAAAAATCAGATATATACTTTGTAAATATTTTCTCCCAGCCTGTGGCTTATCTTTTCAGTTGAGCACTGTCTTTTGAAGAACAGACATTTTAAATTTTTATGAAGTTTAACTTATCAATTTATTCTTTTAAGAATTATGTTTTTCGTGTAGTATCTGAAAACTGCCTGGACTCTTGATTCTATTCCATTGATCTATTTTTTTCTGTCTTTATGCCAATCCGACATTCTTTTGATTACTATAGCTTTAGCTTTACGATACGATTTGAAATTACATTTTGTTAGGCTCCTGCCTTGTTCTTCATTTTCAAGATTGTTTTGGTTATCTTAGGTCCTTGAAATTTTTGTATACATTTAAAATCAGCTTGTCAGCTTCTAAAAAAAGCTGACTGGGATTTTATTTGGGATTGCAGTGAATCTGTACTCCATTTTTGGGAGAATTGATGTCATAAAAATAGTGAGTCATCTCACCCACAAACAAGACATATCTTCCTAATTATTTAGATTTTCTTTAATTTCTCTCAATGTTTTATCTTTTACAGTGTACAGATTTTTCACATATTTTTGTGAGATTTATCCCTTAGAATTTTATATTGTCAGTGCTACTGAAAATTATAGTTTAAAACAAATTTTAATTTCCAGTTGTTCATTGGTAGAACATACAAATGCAATTGATTTTTGCATATTGATCTTGTATCCTAGAACTTTGCTAAACCCACTTACCAAAACTAGTGGAGTTTTTCATAGATTCCATTAGATTTTCTTAGAGAAAATATTCTTGACTATCATGTCCTCTGGGAATATGACAGTTTTACCTCTTCCTTTCCATCTGGATACCTTGTATTTCTTTTTTCTGCCTGATTGCACTGATTAGTACCTCCAGTTCAATATTGAATATAAGTGGTGACAGGAGACATCATTTTCGTATTCCTGATATTAGAGGGAACACACACAGTTTTTCATCATTAAGTATCAGGTTAGCTGTAAGTTGTTTATAGATGTTCTTTATCAGATTGGGAAAGTTCTCTTCCATTCCTAGACTGGTGAGTTTTTATCAGGAAATGATAATGGATTTTATCTAATGCTTTTTCTGCATCTGTTCAGATGATCATATGGTTTTTCTTTTTGCAGTTTATTAATATGCTGAATTACATTGACTGATTTTCTAACATTACAGCAATCCAACATCTCTGGGATAAAACCTACTTTTCATATTATATTATCCTTTGTATATATTGTTCTATTTGATTATATTTGATTCATTAAATTTTTGATTAGAATTTTTCTCCTATGTTCACCAGGTATATTGGTATTTAATTTTTTTTCTTTTGATGTCTGTCTTTAGTTTTGGCATTGGCATAATGCTGGCCTCAAAAGTAAGTTGGGAAGTATTCTCTCTTTTACAGTTTCTGAAAGAGTTCATAAATAATTATTATTTTTTCCACTAAATGTTTGTTAGAATTTACCAATGAAGCCATCTGGGCATGGAGTTTTCTTTAGGGAAGTGTTTTAACTACAAATTAAATTTATGTATTAGAGATAGAGCTATCTATTTGTTCTCAAGTAAGTTTGGTAATTTGTGTCTTTCCAGAAATTTTTCCGTTTCATCTAAGTTGTCAAATTTATAGGTATGGGCCAGGCATGGTGGCTCACCCCTGTAATCCCAGCACTTTGGGAGGCCGAGGCAGGCACATCACTTGAGGTTGGGTCTTCCAGACCAGCCTGGCCAACATGGCGAAACCCCATCTCTACTAGAAATGCAAAAATTAGCCAGGTGTGGTGATACACCCCTGTAATCCCAGCTACTTTGGAGACTGAGACATTAGAATCACTTGAACCCTGGAGGTGGAGGTTGCAGTGAGCCGAGATTGTGCCATTGCACTCCAACCTGGGCAACAGAGTGAGACTGTCTCAAAAAAACAAAACAAAACAAACAAAAAAACTTATAGGTATGAAGTTCATAATATCCCACTAGCATCCTTTCAATATTTGTTGAATCTGTAGACATGTGATTTTTCTCATATATAATATTCATTACTTGTCTCTTTTCTTTTTTTATTGATCAGTCTGATTGGAGGTTTATTGACGTTATTCATTTCAAAGAACCAGTTTTCAATTTCATTGATTTTCTCTATTGTTTTTCAATTTCCATTTATATTAATTTATTGTTTTGTCTTCCTTATTTTCTTTTTTCTGTTTACTTTGGCTTTAATTTGCTCTTTTTTCCCCTAGTTTCTAGGGAGTAAGCTGAGATCATTGATTTAAGACCTGTCTTTTTCTTTGCTATGTTTCCCCTTAAGTGATTTAGTGACATCCCACAAATCTTGATATGTTGTGCTTTCATTATTTAGTTCAAAATACTTCTATATTACTTTTGGATTCCTTCTTTGACCCATGGGTTTTAGAAGTATGTTTTTAGTTTCCAAATATTTGGGGATTTTAAAGAAATCTTTCTGCTATTGATTTCTAATTTAACTCCACTGTGGTTAGAGGATAGAGTTTCTATTATTTGGATCCTTTTAAAATTATTGAGACTGATTTGATAGCCAGTATATTGTCTTTCCTGCTAGATATTTCAAGTATACTTGAAAAGGATCCATTATCTGCTGTTGTGTGGAATGTTTCATAAATGTGAATTAGGTCATTTTAGTTGAGTGTTGATTGCGCCTTCTGTATCCTTTATGATTATTTGGTCTACTTTTTCTATCAATTATTTAGAGAGGAGTATTAAAATACTCATCCTTAATTGTGAGTTTGTTTGTTCTCCTTTCAGTTTTACCAGTTATTGCTTAATATATTTGGAAGCTTTATTTCAAGGGGCATAAATGCTTAGGATTTTTATGTTCTCTTGATTTATTAACCCTCTATCATTAGGACTTAAATTAGGATTTGTCCCTGGTATTTTTTTCTGCTCTGAAATATAGTTTATCTGGGATTACTGCAGCCATTCTATATTTATTTTGACTTGTGTTAGTATAATACCTTTTTTCACTGTCTTACTTTTAACATACTTGTTTCTTTATGTTTAAAGTATATTTCCTGGAGGCAGCACTTATTTAGGTCTTGCTATTTTATCCATTATAACAGTCTTCACCTTTTAATTGAGGAATTTTAGATAATTTATACTGAATGTAATCATCAATATTGTTAGGTTCAAGGCTGTCTTCTTGCCATTTTGTATTTGTTTCATTTCCTTTGATTCCTTTTTTCTCTTTTAAAACCTCTTATGGGTGAATTGCGAATTTTTTATGATTCTATTTTAACTTTTATTGGCTTATGAGCTATAACTCTTTTAAAAAAGTTTAGTAGTTGCTTAGGATTTATAGTATACATCTTTAATTCACCACCATCTACTTTTAAGTGATATTATACTACACCACATATATTTCAGTATAAGTATCTTACAATAGTATCCCTCCGTGTTACCCTCCCGACTCAATGTAATTGTTATAATAAATGTTACTTTCATATGTGTTATATACACAAAAATACATAGTTATTATGTTTATTAAAACAGTCAGTTATCTTTTAAAGAGATTTAAGTAATAAGAAAATAATCTTAAATACTTTTCTCTGCCGTTATCATTTCAGGTGCTATTTATATTTTTGGTGCGAAGATCCGTAGTTTGATCTGGTATCATTTCTCTTCTGCTTGAAAGACTTCCTTTGACATTTCTTATAGTACAGTTCTGCTGGTGGTGAATGCTTGCCGCTTTTGTATGTCTGAAAATGACTTCATTTCACTTTCATTTTTGGAAGATATTTTTACTAGGTACAGAATTCTAGGTTAACAGTATTTCCTTTCAGTACTTTAAAAATGTTGCCTTACTATCTTCCTCCTCATATTATTACTGATAAGCATCTGATATTGTCCTTACTTTTGTTTTTCTGTATATAACATGCTCTTTATCTCTGGTTTCTTTTAATGTTTCTTCTTTTTCTCTGGTTTTGATCAATTTGATTATCATGTACCTTGGCATGGTTTTCTTCTTGTTTTTATTTTTGTGTGTGTGCCTGCACTTTGTTGAGCTTCTTGGACTTGTGTACTTATAATTTTCATCAAAACTTTAATCCATTATTACTGCAAAATGTGAAAAAAATCTTTTATATTTTCTAATATTTTTCTGCCTCCATATCCTCTTACTTGAGATTTTGAGTTACGCAGATACTAGGTTTTTGTGAAGTTATCCCACACGTCACTGATGTTCTTTTTCTCTTATTTTTTCTATTTTATTTTGTGTAATTTTTATTGTTATGTGTTCAGATTCAGTGATATTTTGTTTGTCGATGTCTAATCTGCCAACTATTCTGTCCAGTGTTTTTTTTTTTAATTTCATACATTGTAGTTTTGATTTCTAGAAGTTTTTGAGTTTTTTCGTTAAATCTTCAATGTCTCTACTTATATTTTGAATGTAAAAAAAGTAGTTATAATAACTGTTTAGGGTAATTATCTGCTAATTCTAATTCTGTTTTAGTTCTGGGTCAGCACTCTGCTCAGCATTGTCATGGGGGACCCTCTGGAAGTGACCACATTTTTCTCTCTCTGTGCAGTTTTCTTCTCTCTAGTAGTCTTTCCTGCAAACTCTAACTGCCTTGCTCTTCCATTCTCTTGGGTCCATATCCTTAACACATGGAGTCCACTGGGTTCTGCATGCTTCCTCTCCCCACCTGCACTGTGTCATGGAAATTCTCTAAAGGCAGAGATTTAGTTCAGTCATAAAACTCACCTTGTTTCCTGTCTTGAAGGATCGCTATTCTTCATTGCCTATTTTCCAGTGTCTTGCAAACTATTTTTTCATAGGTTTTTCCTAGTCTTTTTGGTTATTTCAGGTCAGAGGGTAAATCCAATCCCTGTTACTCCATCTTGGTTAATTATAGGCATCATCTTTATTATCTTATTTAATTCTCAGAAAACTCCTGGTATTGTGGAGCACATTTTCAATGGGGCAAGACAGATGACCAGATAATTATTACATTTATAATTTGATGAATTTGTTAGATACTATGTAGAGTAATACAATCATGTAAGGCAAAAAGAGGGAGAAGGAGTGGATTCTACTTTACATAGGGTGCCCATGAGAAATCTGTTGGGAGAAGGAATGGATTCCACTTTACATAGGGTGCCCATGAGAAATCTATTTGATGAGGTAACATTTGAACAGGGACTTGAAGAAGTGAGGAAGTGAGGATGCTGTGCATATTTCTGGAGGAAGAGCATTCCAGTTGAAGGAGAGAACAGGTGTGAAGTCTCTGAGTGGGAGTCTGTGGCTAGGCTTTAGGAATGGCACAGAGGCCAGTGTGGCTGGAGCAGAGTGAGTGATGGAGAGAGTGGTGGGAGAGGGGTTAGAGGCATGGCAGGAGGCCAGGTCATGTAGAACTTTTCTGGCCTTTGTAAGACACGATTCTTATTCTGAGTGAAGTTGGAAGCAAGAGGAGGGTTTTGAGCAAAAGATGGGCAATATATATATATATTTTTTTGAAACTATACCCTGGTAGCTGCCTTAAGAGTAAGTGAGGTGGTGAGGAGGGTAGGGATGAAATAAACTATTTATCAGGCTATTGTGATTATCTAGGAAAGGAAGGGTGGTGGTTTGGACTATGGGGTAGTATGGAGGAGGTAAGAAGTAGTTGGATTCTGAATATATTTGGGGTGGGGAGCCGATAAGATTTGCTGTTGGATTAGATGTGGATTATGAGAAAAGAGAAACATCAAGTATGATTCTAGAGTTTTCATTTGTTTGTTTGTTTTTAGCTTCAGGAACTGAAAAGAGAAGACATTTCTTGAGATGAGGAGATTGAATATTTCAGGGGTAAGATCAGGAATTTGGTTTGAATCTGTTAATTTTGAGATACCTATTAGACCATTACACAGAGATGGTATGTAGACACTAGACATGTGGCTCTATGAGTCTGGAGTTCAGAGGGAGGGTAAAGCTGTTGATATGAATCTGGGAACCATCTGCATATAGGGGATATTGAACCTCATGTGACTGGATGAGACCACAGAGGGGTTGCATTACTAAAAATGCGAAGAGGCCCAAACCCTGGCACCTCTGGGGCATGTGAAGCCAGAGAAAGGAGGAGAAACTCACCATGGATGCTGACCAGGAGCAGCCTGAGGTGGAGGAGGAGGACAGGTGTTGTGGGGGGGTCCCAGAAGCCAAGTGAAGAAACCATTTCAAAGGGAAGGAGAGGTCAATGATGTCTGGTGATGCTGCCAGGAGGGTGCGTGACCTAGAAGGGGAATGCCGGGAAAGGTGGGAGGACAGAACCCTCAAGAACTCCAACTTCTATTATACCATCCTACAGATAAGAAAACAGTTTGATGTCACATAATTAGTAAGTGGCAGAATCAGGACTTGAGATCTGAGTGACTTCGAATTTAAGAACTCCATACCCGATGCCACACGGCTCCCCCCTTATCTTCCCTCTCACTCCCAGCACTGGTTGAATGCTGAATAAGTTATGGAATCCCAGCAATATCTGAATTTTTCATAACTTAGAAACAGTAATATAGTTTGTATTATGGAAAGTCCTACTATGAAACTTTTGTTAATTTATTGCAGTTGTCCCTCCTTATCTGCGGTTTTACTTTTTATGGTTTCAGTCACCCACTGTCAACTGAGGTTCAAAAGTATTAAGTGGAAAATTCCATAAATAAATAATTTATACGTTTTTCAATCGCATGCTCTTCTGCATAGTGTGATGAAAGCTCTCGCTGTACTGCTTTGTCCCACCCAGGATATGAATCATCCCTTTATCCAGGGTCTCCACACTGTATGCACCACCCACCCATTAGTCACCTACTACTAGGTTATCAGATAGAAAAAACTATAGTATATATAGGGTTTGGTACTATCTGCAGTTTCAGGCATCCACTGGGGATCTTGAAATGCATTCCCCGAGGATAAGAGGGAGCTGCTTGATTAGATTTGTACCCTTTATGTTATTTTGCACATTAGTGCCTTATTTTTAAAATCTATTATGGCAAACGTGAAAGAACCTTGCAAAAGCCCACACAAACAAGCTTATGTATGTCCCATGAGGAATACCAGAAGGAAACAAACCCTATTTACTGGAAATGCACTTCTATATGTTAATCACAATAGATCTATTCTTCTTTCTCAGCCGTAAAGGAACCTATGAGATTTAACATTTATGGTTGCAGATATATGAGGTCATCGTTGTTCTGCAGTATCATTCTTTAGCCCTTTGAAAAGCCCTGTGGAGACGGTGTTTGCAGCTGCACAGATGATGGGTTTTGGGAGCAGGACCGAGGAAGAAGTGACATACCATTGTGCTTTAGATCACAGTCTTTGGGAACACACCATGGATATGATTCTGGCTGCAATACTGACCACTTCTGTGACTGTTTTATTTCCTTCCTTGAGCCATATTTTCATCATTTACTCAGTAGACTTTGTGATAGTTACCTCCTAGGACAGTCATGAAGATTAAATGAGCTAACATATAGGAAGTGGCCTAACACAGTGTCAGGCAGACAGCAAGCACGCTTAAAAGATAGCTCTTCTTCTTTGGGAGGCCAAGGCGGGCAGATCACGAGGTCAGGAGATTGAGACCATCCTGGCTAACACGGTGAAACCCCGTCTCTACTAAAAATACAAAAACAATTAGCCGGGCATGGTGGCGGGCACCTGTAGTCCCAGCTACTCGGGAGGCTGAGGTGGGAGAATGGCGTGAACCCATGAGGCAGAGCTTGGCAGTAAGCCAAGATCATGCCACTGCACTCCAGCCTGGGCGACAGAGCGAGACTCTGTCTCAAAATAAATAAATAAATAAATAAATAAATAAATAAAATAAAATAAAATAAATGAATAAATAAATAAAAGATAGCTCTTCTTTGTAACAAGTGACTCACATCCTGTGGGAAAGTTTGCCTTTGTACTTTAGTAAATAAAAACACACTGACTTGAGGAATTAATTCCTCTTGTTACTTGTTATGAATCCGCGTCGCAGCATTTATAGTTCTGTTCTGGGCCTGCTGCGACCCTAGTTCTTCCTGAAGTCTCATGCATCCTTTAAGACAGTTCAAATTACTGCCTCCTCCACTTTTTGCAATACTTATTAATGTCTTCCATGGTCTTTCCTTCTTTCCACACTGCATATAACTTACTCTGTGATTCTTCAGTGATCCTTATCTTTTTCCTTCATGGCCTCTCTCCCTCCCATGATATGTAACTCTTGACAAGCTATTGTTCATTCGTCATACATGTACTGAACACCTGTGAAGCACCAGGGATGCTCATAAGAATTTGAAAGATGAGTCCCTCACCCTCAGAGAGCTTAGAGTGTCATGGATGAGAAACATGTGTCCATGGATCACTAAATTACAGCTCAGCCAAGGCTGTGGGA